>NC_000016.10:73956439-74259469 GCF_000001405.40 Homo sapiens
TTTTCTCCTAATAAATATTGTTAATTTGGACTCTGGCATTACGTACCTTTCCTTTTTTGCATAATGTGGACTTCAAAGTGTATGCCTGTCAAACAAGAATAAATGTGACAATTCACAAATATAAATGAATGCCAGCAAAAAACTGAGGCACAATCTCAAGCATGCTATTTTGTTCTAAAATTTTAGTAAATAATTTAAGTAGATATAATCTTCCAAGTGTATTTTTGGTGTCTTTTTGACAGGACAGAAGCTCTGAAGGGGCGGAAACTCACCATTCACTATACGATTTTTTTATCCTGTGCCCAGATTTTAAAATATACAGAACGTTAGAAGCACTGCAGTGCCCACTAGTGGACACATCAGAATCACAGCTGCCTCCTGTCCTCTTTCAATGAAAACCAGTCCAAAGGCATTCACCATAGTGGAGTAAAAAACAGGAAGAAAGAGTATGAAATAAAAAGCATCTGCTTTAAAACCCGTTTGCGTGACCATTCACTTCTTATTTTATCTTTACAATGATAACAGAGGCATGCACAAAGAGAAAAACTTTCTTCTGCGAGGCTCAACTTTTCTATCATTTGATCCTATTGTAAAGTCAATGGTACACAGAGCTGTATTTGGCGGCACTGAAGATACTCTTTAAATGAATAAAATGCTCTGTGTTTAATGACTCTTGACCTGGAAGGAGTTAGGATATAACATATAAAAGTTCGTCTCAATACAAAGAAGTGCGTCTTTACAAATTCTAACCAATCCTACTCCAATCAAGTTACCCCTTGTTACTTGGGGTAACCCTTGCTCTGCAGCGAATTGTTAGCACAGTCTCTTTTAATAGTGACAGATCCTGTCTACTCATACCCTGTAATGACATCACTAGAAAAAAATCTTTGAGCATTAGCACAATGTACATGTAATCCAACAGCAATCTGATTATAATTTACCAGAGAACAATGTTTACACATTGCAAGTGTTACTGATTCCTTTTTTAAAAAATGAAAAACAAGCCTCATTTTGTATTTTAATGTTTCTGTTTAAAAACAATGGTGATTAAGTCCCATGAAAAATATATTTGACAGATAAATCAAAAGTTATTACTTTAACTTGATTTCTAACTAATTCGTTGATTTTTAAGCAGTTTTATGAAGTCTGATTGAGAAGAAATAGGAGACATTTATAAAACACCATCCATAAAACTGTAAAACAACAAAACATTCCTAATTCAATTTGACCCAAGACATCTTATTTAAAAGCATGAGTCTGTTAAAAGAACTAACACAAGCCATGGAAACTAAGGCTATAATTGTTTTTAAGATTCTAGAAGTACATAGAACTTAGGCTAGATATTTTATTCTAACACATGTGAACTGGAGATATTATAGCTTATCGGCAAATCATCTGGGCTTTACTGCTTACTTTATCTTATAGAGCACTTTAATGGGCCTAATCTGCATTTTGGAGAAATGAGGAAACAGTGTAAAGACCAATGACCCTCCCCAGAATTTATTCCGCAGGTCCAGTCCCCTGCTTTGTTATACCTTCTCTAAAAGGTCCCTGCCCTGGCAGCTTTCAAATCCATTAGAAGCCTACAATAAGGTACCATCCTACTGTAATAAACAGTGTCATGGGGTGGTGGGGAGAGGAGGGAAAATTAGAAAGTGGTCAAAGATAGTCTTGGGAAAGCTATCCTAAGAAAGAACATTTGAGGAAAATCAGCTGGGCGTGGCAGCATGCGCCTGTAGTCCCAGCTACTCAGGAGGCTGAGGCAGGAGAATCACTTGAACCTGGGAGGCGAAGGTTGCAGTAAGCTGAGATAGTACCATTGCACTCCAGCCTGGGCAACGGAGCAAGACTCCGTCTCAAAAAAAAAAAAAAAGAAAAGAAAAGAAAAAGAAAAAGAAAACCAAAAAACTAGCATGTTCACTTTTCCTTCAGCCCTGTAAGAGTAGGGAGGACAGTGATCTTATGATTCTGGAAAATTCAATAGGGGGCACGTAGGCGGTGTGTAGCTTCCTCCCCTTTGCCTTGCTTTTGCATTTTGTTCTTGGTTCAAAGCAATTAACTCATCAGACATTTTCATGGGCTGTTTCTGGTAAGGAATAAGTGTATGGAAATAACAAAATACATATGAGGGGAAAAGGGCACAGGGAAAAGTCAGTATATCTCCTAACAGCATTCCCCAAGTTCCCAAAATATCATTCCCAACTACAATTGGAGTTATTTGAAGAAACAAAAACAGACAGTAAATAAACTATGATAAATACCAAGAAATTAGTCTTCCTACCTTCAGGAAAAAGTCCAACAGGGCTTCTATGAAATGAATCAAATTTTGCCTTGGCACCAGGCTACAATATCAGCACCAAAAATAGGACACTTTTGCTTTAAAAAAACTGCCTCTCCTTTTTCAATGGCTTAAATTACCTGAATGTGTTTGCAATTGGTGGCAGCTGTTTGGCTAACGTATGGTATGGATTTTTTGATATATTTAAGGGATTCTTTTTTAACTAATCAGAGAATTCTCACCAACACCACTCTATGTGCTTTAGCTAACCTCTGTTTTCAAACACTCCATTAAGAATATACCTTCTTGGGATGTCTTCTTGTACTCTAATTCTTCCTGTACTATATATAATTTTTACAAGCATTGTTCCTCAAATTGTCTTTTATGGAATACTAACTGCAGATTTCAACAGGTATTCCTCAGAAAATGAGGGAGCTCAACGGACAGGTGAGTTTGGAAATCATTTGCTTAAACAGTTTGTTTACAGGTAAGAGCCTTGAATACACTAATAGATGCTGTCAACCTCCAGTAGGTTAGACAGAGTATGTCCTTGGACGTTCATTTCTAAATAAAGCACAGATTGGAAAATATCAACTTCAATCCATATAGTTCAATACCATAGTAACAGTAACAATAATAATGGTGATAATAGAGCAGCAAATAAGCCCCTAAGAGTCCAGTACTAGCACTGTTCTCAGCACTTTACCGACTTTACCCCTTTAAATCCTCACAACCACCCCCAGAGGTTCCCTAGAAATGAAGAAACTGAGTTCCAAATAAGTTAAGCTCCTTTCCCTGGCTACTGTGTGGTGGAGATGGGATTTCAACCCAAGCATATCTGGAGACTATGTTCCAAAACACTTAGAACATAGAGAGAAACTGGGCCCAGGAAATAATTGTACACCCACAATGGCTGGAGTTGTCAGGTTTCTTCTCCGCACCTACTGCCTATGTCTTAGCCTCCAATTTCTAGTCCTCTATTCCACTCTCATGTGAGCAGCTGGACTCCAGCAGCAAAACCCTAAGTGACGGCTGACCAGAAGCAGCATTGAGGATCCCCACATCCACGGTGCCTTCATCCACGGGAAGCAGAACAGAGCATGGATAAGGGAGGATCCTTGCTGGGCTTAGGGAACTGGCAGGAATGGGAGGAACCAGTGTGCACTTCCAGAAAAGCTTATTTGACTGATCCCCACATGCAGCTGCTGGAAGAGAAAGTCTTCAAGGTCCAGTGAAAGAGTTGAAGATGTGGAGAGCTATAGTTTGCTCATGGATGGCAAGACTCTATTTCAAGATGGAAATGCACCTTCCAATAATCTATTAATTAAATATAATACCAATCAACGCTCCAGTTAGAATGGCAATAATTAAAAAGTCAGGAAACAACAGATGTTGGAGAGGATGTGGAGAAATAGGAATGCTTTTACACTGGTGCTGGGAATGTAAATTAGTTCAACCATCGTGGAAGACAGTGTGGCGATTCTAGAACTAGAAATACCATTTGACCCAGCAATCCCATTACTGGGTATATACCCCAAAAATTATAAATCATTCTACTATAAAGACACATGCACACGTATGTTTATTGTGGCACTATTCACAACAGCAAAGACTTGGAACCAACCCAAATGTCCATCAATAATAGACTAGATGAAGAAAATGTGGCACGTATAAACCATGGAATACTATGCAGCCTTAAAAAAGGATGAGTTCATGTCCTTTGTAGGGATGTGGATGAAGCTGGAACAATCATTCTCAGCAAACTAACACAAGAACAGAAAACCAAACACTGCGTGTTCTCACTCATAAGTAGGAGTTGAACAATGAGAACACATGGACACAGGGAGAGGAACATCACACACCAGGGCCTGTCAGGGTTTGAGGGGCTAGGGGAGGGATAACATTAGGAGAAATACCTAATGTAGGTGATGGGTTGATGGTGCAGCAAACCACCAAGGCACGTGTATACCTATGTAACAAAACTGCACGTTCTGCACATGTACCCCTGAACTTAAAGTATAATTTTATATATATATATACATACACACATGAGCTCCAACAGGGCATTTCTTAGCAACTGGCTAGCAAATCCCAATATTCATATTCATATAGAAGCAAAGAGTAAAGAAGAGCCAAGGTAATTTTTAGAAAGAATTAATAAGGAGGATGATCTTTTCTTCATACCTCACTAGATGTCAAGACTCATTAGAAAACTAAAATAATTACAACCACGTAATATTAGCATAAAGCTAGACATGCAAAACTTAGAATAGTCTCATACACATGTGGGAACCTGTTATATGACAGAGTCATGCTGCAAATTGATGGGAGAAATTATGGACTATTCAACTACTGGTACTGGCACAATCAACTACCCACGGACAAAAGTAGAAAATTAGGCAACTTTCTTTCAAAATGCAAAAAATGAGTTGTATGTGGATTAAAATTTAAACATGAAAAAGCAAAATCATCCAACATGAAGAATGTAACATGGAACGATAGCCTTAGGACATCTCAAAGGGAAGAATTTCATTTTTTTTTTCTTTTGTAGAGACAGAGTTTCACCATGTTGCCCAGGCTGGTCTCCAACTCCTGGGCTCAAGCAATATGCCCACCTCGGCCTCCCCCAGCGCTGGGATTACAGGCATAGCCACTGCAGCCAGCCTAAGAATTTTTATTTATTTATTTTTTATTTTTTTATTTTTTTATTTTTGCAGACAGAGTCTAGCTCTGTCACCAAGGCTGGAGTGCAGTGGTGGGATCTCGGCTCACTGCAAGCTCTGCCTCCTGGGTTCACACCATTCTCCTGCCTCAGCCTCCCGAGTAGCTGGGACTACAGGTGCCTGCCACCACGCCCGGCTAATTTTTGTTTTGTATTTTTAGTAGAGACAGGGTTTCACTGTGTTAGCCAGGATGGTCTTGACCTCCTGACTTCATGATCCGCCCGCCTCGGCCTCCCAAAGTGCTGGGATTACAGGCGTGAGCCACTGTGCCCGGCCCAGCCTAAGAATTTTTTAAGCTAGACAAAGAAAGTACAAACCATCTTGGTTGCACTAACATGTAAACTTTTGTATAACAAAACATACCATAAACAAAGTGAAAAGACAAGCCATGGATCAGATGAAGACATTTGCCACACATATGGTCAAAACAGTATTGTGATGCAGAATTTATGAAGAATTCCTACACATTTAAAAGAAAGAAATACTTGATTTAAAAAATGGGCAAAGCAAATGAACAGGCAATTAACAAGTCCACATGAGCAGTTAATTTATGAAAAGATATTCAAACTCACTAGTAATCACAAATTAAAACAAAATTAAAACAAAAATAAAATGCCATTTAAGGCTTAAAGCCCATTGTTTTAAAGAAAAATAAGTATGCCTAATTCCATCAAGTGTCAGTCAGGAAGGAGGAAATTTGAAGTTTTATATACTAGAACTTCGGGGGGAAAGAAAATTGGGGAGCATTTGGCAATTCCTGTAAAACTAGTTTACTTATTCAGTGGAATACTATACAGCAGATAAAATAAACTATTTCTAAAAGTGTAAACATGGATAAATCCCCAAAATAAAATGCTGAACAAATTTTTATTTTTGTTTATGCATATTGAAAACAAAATTTTTTTATTTATGCATATTGAAAACATGAAAAAATTTTAAAACATGTATTATTTCTAGATATATACATTGGTAGCAAGAATCAAAACACCGCTGGGAACGAGAGAGACAAAATTAGAACAGTGGGGACCTCTGGGGGAGAGAGAGGGGACTTGGATGTCTGTAATGCCTTATTTTTTAAAACAAAGCAATAAATATGGCAAAGATCTATAAAAGCTAGGTGGTAGGTGATATTTTCTGTTTCATATATTTGAAATATTTCACAATTAAAAACTTTTAAAAGTATTAAGATTCAAGGAAGTGTGGACAACACAATTATCTCTACAGTAGGCTGACTAGGAAAATAATTTTGTTCTTCTAGTCTGAGGGCCCAAAGGAAATTAAGTGTGTTGAGTCAAAAACAGGAAATAGCCTCTCACTAAACTATCTCAGGATTTGATGACATTTGGGGGAGTTTTCATGGGGGTCTTTGTTTCTAAGGGATAACTAGGCCCCTTTGAGAACTGCACAGGGATGATCCCAGGTGGAGGGAAGGCAATCATCTTGTTGAGGGCATGAGAGTCAATGTGAGAAGGAACTTTGTGAACTTGGCAACCAGGTGAAGAAAGTGTGCTTCTTGACCCAAAACTGCTCTGTTTCAGCCACAAACTAGCTTTATATGTTTGTGAGCATGTCACTTAAGCTCTCTGAGCCTCAATTTTATTACATGGAACATGAAGGGTGTGGGAAGGATGATAAAAGGATTCACACAAGATTATTGCAAGAATTAAAGAATACTAATATATGTAATGACACTAACAGCAGAATAATTTTTCTGAAGATGTATTTCATGCCACATGTTATTCTTACAATGTGACATTGACACTCTGCTGGGAGATGAGGTCTATGTCTCTACCCTCTGTGACTCTGGTGGTAGTGATACTGTATGATATCTAAGACTAAGTTATAAATGGAAATACAGTTCCTGCTTGGCCTTCCATCTCAGATTCTCACCCTTGGGATCCAGCCGCCATCTTGGGAGGAAGCCAAACACCACGTGGAGAGACCATATGTACATATACTGGCCGCAACCCCAGCTGAGGTCCCAACCAACAGCCAGCATCAACCACCAGACATATGAATGAGTAAGCCTTCAAAAGATTCCAGCCCCAAGCTTCCATCCGTCTCAACTGACATATGAGTGTCCCCAGGAAGCCCTGCCCAAACCGTAGATTCATGAGCAAACTAAATGTTACCGTTATTTTAAGTCCCTAAGCATTAGGATATTTTATTTCATAGTAATAGATGACTAGAACAGTGCTCCTAAACCATTATTATTAACAGCATCATCATATATGAAAACGAGAAGGATAGACTACCTTAGAATTCTACAGAATTTAGAAATCCTAATGTCACCTTCGTGGCTTTGGTATAGCCTATACCATCAAAGTGCTACCCAATATTTCTTCTTAGAACAACTCACTTTTTAAAACAATTATTTTCACTAAAATTAATCTTTAGAAAAAAGTTTTGATGTCAATTATACTTATCTAACATTTTGTTAAATACTATTAACTATTAAAATTTCCAATTTTAGCTGCATTTTAATACATCAATATTTAAATAAGTCTTATCATGTATTAAACTAAATACTCGATGGTTAAAATTTAAAATGTTTGGCTATAAGCGAGTCAAAATCATCTTGAATCACCATGGACTAGAAGACAGCAAAGGACAGGATTCATTTACCTCCAAAATTCTATGGATCATATCTTGATTCAATCATTCTGTTACAATCTTCCCCAGGTAAATATGTTTTACCTTTAAAAACTGCTTTATTCAAGAAGCATACTTTCTGGGTATAACAATGCAGTCAATGGCAGCAAGCCTGCAAGGGAGGAAAAAGATTTTGGAGGTGGCCTCGAGGCAAGAAATGGGTCATAATCCCCTGTCTTACCAATGTCAGGAGCTAGCCCAGCAACTACAGGACATGGATTTTTCTCCCCAGGAATCAAGGTTTCTCTGCCACAGCACTATTAACATTTTTGGACCAGATAATTCTCCATGGAAGAGTGGACGGGTGCCGTCCAATGCATTGTAGGATATTCAGCAGCATCCCTGGCCTCTACCTACTAGATACCAATTGTATCCCCTTTCTCTGAGCTATGAAAACCAAAATGTCCATAGTCGGGAAGCAAAAACAGTTCCTTCTTGAGACTCAATGACTTAGAATAGAGTTGGAGGAGTGTTCCAGAGTCCCACGCTTGTCCCTGCCCTCAGTATAGGTACAAGAGAAACTTTTGATGATGATGTCAGTGATGACAGTGACTTTATCTTTTTTGCTTCTTCAAGGACAAATTCAGTCTTTTTTCTAAAATAAAAGCCAAAGATAATGTTTAAACTGTATCTTGTATTGTCAGCTCTTTTTTCTTTTTTTTGCTTAGCCCTTGGTTAATGAACAGAGCAAGAAAATAGCCACTGAATGATAGGCAGATCTTCCCACAATTGCATACAAAATCTGCATGTGTATCCTATCCACCATCAATGATTCACTGTAGATTGAAGGAAGCATAGCAAGGCATGTGGGTTCCTTGCAGTCCTTATCTTAATTTGCCATACATTGGCTCTCTTGTTTGATGGAACTTTTGATGGTGAATGGAGTTTCATGGCTACAATTAAGTAATATTTTTCAAAAGAGATTGGAATAACCACTTCCAAAGGTACAGGCACCTCCTTGAAATTGTGTATTCAAGGGGAAAATTGGAAATGACATTTAATAAGAGAAGATCATGCCTCCAAAAAAAAGAAAAAATGCCTCGTTCAGAATTGACAGACCCCGGGTCTGGGCTATCCAAAGTGCTGAACACTGTCGTCCCAGGAGGTTGAAACAGTCAGAGTAGCAAAATCTGCTGACCTCAATATCCCACAGCTTAGTAGTGACACGCCACACATATGACAATGTCAATGATACTGACAGCCAGCATTCACTAGGTATTTCACATGAGCAGAAACAACACCAAACACTTCATTTGCACTGTCTCTTAGAATCTTCACCCCATGAGTAGATACTGCCATCATCCCTTTTTCACAGATTAGAAAACTGAGGCTTAAAGCACTTAAGTAACTTGTCCATGGTCACAAGTCTAGTAGGTTATAGAGCCAGTTATATATATACACACACACATATATACATATACATACACATACAAATACATACATACACATAATGTTGACCTACATCAGCAAGTAAAAAAATGTCTCTCTTCCTAGACCGGGGTCAACAAAATTTTTCTATAAAGGGCTATATTAGTAAATATTTTAAGCTTTGTGGGCCATATGGCCTCTGTTGCAATTATTCAACTATCATGTATCTGCCATGTAGGTACAAGCACATGCTGCAAAAGTAGCCACAGACAACACAAAGACGAATGAAGACAACTGTTTCAATAAAACTTTATTTGCAAAAATGGGCAATGGGCTAGATTTGGCCCATAGGCGGTAGTTTCCCCACCCTTGTCCTAGACCAATACCCCCCCAAGTGTGGCCATAGATCAGAATCACCTGGGCTATGTATATAAATTGCAGATTCCTGGGCTGTAGTCCAGAACCACTGAATCACAACCTTCTTCTATTTTAACAAGTCCCCTGAGTAATTTGCGGACAAACAAACCTTTGAGGACCACTGTTCTAGACCCAGTTCTTCCCCAGTCCCCATTAAAGTTGTCCTTCCAGCTATCAAAGATAGAACACGATTCAACGGACAGGCAAGCCAAGTGATACAAACCAAGAAAGGAAAATTGGCTGCTTGTCACAGCTCACCATCTTTATCAAGATGTCAAAATACTGACCCGTGACCATGATTCTCCTAGCTGGAAGATATCCTTTAGTTTTACTGATAGAAAAATCTCATAAATCAGAAAAAAATCTTTTGTTCCCAGTGGAATCACGCTGATCTTTTAATCAACTTTTTGCACACAAACACACACAAAAAAGACAGTTTTGCACTGTGCATACCTCGTTTTAAATCTGAAATTCAGTCGTGCTAAAATGGCTTTCATGTTATTGAGGGGAAATGAACACAGGGCCTTCAGAAATAAGAGGGATGGAATAATATGTGAATTTGTACAGAATTCGCCAGTACACATGCTGCCTGCTTCATGAATACATGAATGCAACTCGTTTTATCTTTTCTTGTTTCAGAACTAAAGGTATTCACATAAATCTGGATCTCCTTTTCTTTGGGGAATTAAGGCTGGCACCATCACTCTGTGCCTTTACCTATATCAGCATGGGAGAGAAAAGGCCAACCCTTCATTGTCTTTTGATAAAGGATTGAAAAAAGTGAACAGGAGTGGAGAGAAATGAATACTAAGGCACACGCTGTAATAGAGCTGACCAGGTCGCCATCCACCTGGGATAACACCCCTCTCCAGCTGGCAGGCACCAGTGATCTGGTTTCAGTCGCCAGCACCCCAAACTTATTAACTCACTCTGATCTTCTCTGTAATGCCAGGAGCCTCCGCCACCCCACCTTGTATCATAAGACTTTAGTTTATAGACCCCTTTGCTTCATCTCACTTTTTATACCTTTCCTCTGATCCTACTCCACCAATGACCCAAATGCCTCCAAGGCACAACCCTGCCAGTGGCGATGGCAGTCCCCCTCTGAATGCTGCGCACAGCTGGGATGTCCAGGCCTGGTTGTAAAGCCTGACTCAGTCCCACCACCAGGGTCCCGGGGGACTGAAACGTGTCTACATATCAAACAGCAGTTGGCTTCTACTGCTTCCTTTTTTTCTCCCACTACTTTGTATCCCATGGCCACTACGGTTATTTTGAAAGCATATTTTAGAGCTGGGTGATGACATTTAAATAAAGTAATCTCAATGAGGAGTTAGGGATTAATAAAAATGTAGCAGAGGGCCCACAAGGTAGCACAACTGTAACAATTGGGGTTAAACTAGCACTGAGCTCATGATGCATTTTTATGTAAGTGAATCATGTCTTGTGTCTACACTGGCAAGTAAAGAGGGCCCTTCAGAGTTGAATTGAACCTGATCTTGGCTGTGTGTCATCGTGTGTTAGTTAATTAACCTCTGTAGTACCAGACCATTTGGGCTCCAAGGTTCCTTTCAACTCTAAAATTCTAGGCTGAGGTCAAGTCTATTTGAGTAGGCACACATCTCTTACAACTGGCTTTTCTGGTGAATTTCCAAAACATTTTTTTAAGCAAAGAAACGCTAAAATGGACATGGACCAAGAAATTTGGTGGAATATTTTAGCAGGAGGAGCTACATTATCCTCAGATCTTTTACAAAACTGGATCTTTAAAGTTATCCCAAACTGCAGCCTCTCTTACAAGCTTAATTTTAATTGATAATGATTTTTTTTAAATAGACACTGTAATTTTTACCAAATGTTTCAGGACAAAATGGAATCTTTTTCCTAAAATGAAAAGGTGTAGTGATCAAATAAGTGAAGATTTAAAGAGTTGTTAGAGGCAATGCTGATGACCCAAGCTATCTGATTTTCCTAAAATTAGGGCTTCCTGTTAGTTGTTGGGACACCGTGGCAAAGCCTCCAGAGATTTTATTAATATAAATAAATGCAGAATCATTATTCATTGTCACAGAGGGCCTTACTATATTCACTGTATCACAACTACATAATAAAATGAGGTGTTATTTTTAAAAAAAGGCAACAGAGAAAAATCAACAGTAAGTCAACAAGTATTTATAGAATATCTACCAACAGCATTGTGTTAGATGTGGGGTGAGTATAAGACTTGGGTTTTGTCTTCAAGGAGCTTATGATTTAGTTGCAACAGCACAACAAATCCCCACCGAACAACACAAGCGTATACACAGTCAAACACTAGTGCAATTTTGTAGACACTGCTCCAAACTAATTCTACAAGTAAGGAAATCACAAGCAAATCTGCCTGCTTTGCAGATTTGGCTAAAACCCTTTATTTTAGTATGATAGGGTCTCCCTTCCATTGCACAGCTTCAAGTACCTGCATTTAAAAAGAGGATTCTGTGGCTAAACCTACGACTGTCTGCAAAAATAAGCGTCAATACTGCCAGATTCAAATATTCAGTACTAAAAAGCAACTCAGCTGACCCAAAGCCCATTGTTAAAATATCAGATTTAGCCCATATATGAATGGTAACACAACATTAAGGAGACCAAAAAAAGGATGAGCCTGTCACTAGTCTTCTGAACTCATACGTTTTAACATTCTTAGAATTCAAACTTACTGGAGCATTTAAACATAGCTATATTATTTGACCCTTTATTATTTCATAATACCTTGTGATTCCTATTCATAACTTTTCTGTTTCCACAGGCCTTAGATTTGCAAGAAAATTTAACACACTGTAACAAAAATATCTTAATAACTAGAAACTATTTAGTGCTTTTGTGAACATTCTCTTACAGAAACCTCAAAAAAAACCTGTGATGTATCATTATCCACCTTTTGCAGGTTGCCGAAAGAATCCACAGGAACAAAATCTAATGTTAATGCAGCAAGTGCTCTGTTTTAAACCTGCACTGCCCAGGACAGTATTCACAGCCCCACATGGATATTTAAATTTCTTTTTTAAATTTTTTTATTTTTTGAGAAAAGGTCTTACTCTATCAGCCAGGCTGGAGTGCAGTGATACAATCACAGCTCACTGTAACCTCAACCACCTGGATGGACTCAAGCGATCCTCCCACCTCAACTTCCCGAGTAGCTGGGACCACAGACATGTGCCACCATGCCTGGCTAATTTATTATTATTATTTGTAGAGACAAAGGTCTCACTATGTTGTCCAACCTGGTTTCAGACTCCCGGCCTCAAGCAATCTTCCCACCTTGGCCTCCCAAAGTGCTGGGATTACAGGCATGAGCCACCATACCTGCCCTAAATTTAATTTTCTATTAATTAAAAGTAAACAAAATTAAAACTTTAGTTTCTCAATCACATCGGCCACATCTTAAGTGCTCAATAGTCACATGTGGCTTGTGGCAACCATATGCGCAATGCAGATATAAGACATTTCCATTCCATCACAGCAGAAAGTTCTACTGGGCAGCAGTATTCTAGTCATTCTACCAAGCGCTCTACATGCATTCTCTCATTCAACTATCCCAACAATTGCCTCAAGAAGAAGGTACTATTAGTAGTACTATTATTAGTACTATCATTATTATTATTCACTTTACAGATGAATAAAGTTAAGTGGAGTGATTTGGCCAAAGTGAGAGTGGGGCAGAGATTCCGAGTCTAACCCAGTGCTGCTCAAGAGTTTCCTGCAATAACAGAAATATTCCATATTTGCAATGTCTAAGATGGGTGCCGCCAGCACCGTGTGGCTATTGACCACCTGAAATACAGGAGGTGTGACTAAGGGACTGGAAGTTTGATACTTTTAATTAATTTAAATATCAGTAGCCACACGGGGCTAGTGACAACCACCTTGGGAAGCTCAGATCTAGCCCCTTTTCTGACCCTTCACCCCCACTGTATCTAATGCACTGGCCATCTCATCATTCCTACTAAATACATCGGAGAAAAGACGATACAAAAGAAAAAAGAATGAGCCCTGTTCAAACTGTAGCTTGGCGAGAAATTCCCTGGAGCTGAGCCTTCTCTTTGGTTTCAGTCCCTAAGGCAATCTATGCTGAGAGAGGTGGGATTAAATCTAGAATGGGGCCTGGCAGAGTGGCTCATGCCTATAATCCAAGCACTTTGGGAGGCCAAGGTGAGAGGATCACTTGAACCCAGGAGTTTGAGACCAACCTGGACCTGGGCAACATAGCAAGAGCCCATCTCTCAAAAAAAAAAAAAAAAATGACTAGGCATGATGGAGTGTGCCTGTAGTCATAGCTACATGGACAGCTGAGGCAAGAGGATCACTTGATCCCAGGAGTTTGAGGTTGTAATGAGCTATGATTGCATCACTGCACTCCAGCCTGGACGACAGAGCAAGACCTTGTCTCAAAAAATCACAATCTAGCGTGGAATCTCTTTTCAATATTTCCTCGATATTCTGGAATTACCTCTTTACATGAGAGCCGATAAAATTGCACGTGGCCTATGTTTTCCATGAAATGCAATTGTTACAGAGCAACCCGATGAATTATAACATGGGTCAGGCCACAATTCTCCAGCGTGCTCAGAGGATCAGGCCAGCGGAGCTGCAAGCCAGACACACAACTCCACGGTGGTTCCGGCAAGGAAGGTGAGATGGGCTGGCCTCAGTTCTGCAGAGGCTTTCCCCCGCAACTTGAAACCTTTGCTTTCTTATGTTTTAAGGTATCTAGAGCCACTTACTTGGCTTCCCTTGGGTCAATTGTTCTGGTATCCGCTTTTTATCTGCTTGGCATTTCACATAGATCTTCTAGAAAACGTTGCCATGGAATATTTAACAAGAAGAGGAAGCAAGCTCAAAACTTTCCACTTGCACACGGAATTACTGCACGTTTACGGAGTGTTTCTTCCTCCAAGTTTTATGATGGGATTGTGATTTTAACTATTCCTCCTAAGAGATCTTCTGTCTCTATTCAGCAAATGCCATTCTAGAAATTCACATCAAATTCTAATGATAGCTTATGCTCTTCGAGGCTGAAGACACAGAGCGGTAGCTGGTAGAACTGAGAGGCATAGGCAGCTCTGTCATGTCAAAGGGAATCTGCTCCTGTCTCTCTAGCTTCCTCTGGGGTTCCTCCCTCAGCAGAATTAGCCACCAACATGAATGTTAGAAGTGAAAATGACAGACATCATTTTCAATTTCAAGCATAATAAGGTTGAAATAATCCAAGAGCTCATTCCAGACATTTGGGACGTCACCATGTGGCTATGATGGGCCCAACCTTTGGAAGAACAGGTCGGTTTTGCCTCAGAGCCTTGGCATAAACTCCATCCTGATTTAGCCAATTCTAGAGAATAAGCTTAGCAACATCTTACAAACCTACCTCACTTCTTAATCAAGAATACCCTCTGAAAGCCAAGATGAGAACAGTTAAATACAGTGACCTAGCTTGCACAGCCTATGTCTAAGTTGAACAGATCAGGGGGAAAAAATATAAAGGCTTCTTCTCCAATCCTACCAGCCTATTACTTTTCAATAGATGCATACACACACAAAGGTTTTCTGAATGTAGGAAAACAAGTTTATAATTACATAATTTTGCAGACACACCACAATTTTTCTTTTATGTTACCTTTATCTTTAAAAGGCAACATACAGGGCTGTACTAAAAAGCAATAAAGCATGGGTAATTTAATACCAAATTACATCCATATTGAAAAGTTTACATGCAGTTGAGAGCAGACAGAGGTCAGGTTTTCAACAGGACTGTCTTTAATTGTGGCCATCAGTTTTAGCAATCCCGATCTGTGGATCAAAGACAGATATAATGGGCTTCCTCAACGCTGAATAGTGAAAGCAGACAGCAGGAATGGCGCTATCTGGCACCCAAAGGTCATAAAAAAAAAATTACCAGAAAGGGAACGTGTCTCATTGTAAAATTATATATCCAAGATAAAATACATTTTTTAAATCATTCTCCCTTGCCCAGTTCCCAATGAGCTACTTGAAGTGAAGATTTTTTTTCTGGACAGGGGAGGGTCACTCCATCACAGGTGCAAAGTTTTCCCTCTTTTTCCTCTAATAAATGTGCAACCTTTGCATAAATCTTTCATTTTTTTCAGCTGCTTTCAATCATGACTTTTCTCCAGCCTGTACAGCAATCCCTCTTTCTTTGAGGAAGGGTAGGTGAGCTCAGACAGCGTTTTTCCTTCCCCTTTTCCTTCCCCCCACCAAATCAAATGAGGAGTAAATTATCAGCAAATCAGATAGAAACAAGTTTCCTGGATCTGCAGATTTATTCTCTAAATGAAGCAATTTCATCTCTGCTGGCTCTGGGGTGGGGGGGTGCTAGCACGGGAGGGGGGATTTTAAGTAGCCAGGGGGGACTAGAACAGGGATGCCGGCTGGTGAAGCATCCCCACGCTTACGTGAACAGACCACTCAAATCTGCACCAAGAGAGTACTTGAGAGAATCCATCTTTTTTCACTTAACAAGATACAAAATATAAAACACATTTGCCTCTTATTAAACCTCTGCTGTAAGTGGTTCCAGGTCCACCATTTTTAGAGAGGAGAGGGGAGCTGAGACCCCCTTGGGAATTTCAGCAGAGTGACTGGAGATGAGGCACAGGCTGTGAGCCTTTATTACTTTAATTTTATTTTTTTTTTCTAAAAGCACAGAAGGAATAACATTTTAAATCATTAATGTTTGCTTTAAGTAGTTATTTCTTCCAACTGTAAGAATCTGTGCTCCCAGCCTCCCTCCCCATTAGCACCCCTCCCAGATCCTGCACAGAACTGCCCAGATGAAATTTCCCTCCGCCGTGCAAATCTGGAAGGTGCTTTTAAAGAATTTCAGGTTCTGAATCAAGGCAGCCATGGAAGAGACTGTAATCACAGTTTTTCCTTAAAGCACTTGGAGAATAAGGCTCTTGTATTTGTGGCACCTGAGACTGAAAGCTGACTATGTCATCTCGAAATTACTTCAGTGGCAGCAGTTACTGTTATGATAGAACACGATCTTCTCTGTTAAAAAACAGAGTTCTTAGTAGTTCCCATTCAACTCAAAATGCTTTGTGTGAGTGACATGCAGAGCGCTTTTAAGTGGTAAAGTGCAAAACCTAAATTTTTTTTAGAAATGGAATGAAATCAGCCACCTTATTTAATTTAAGACGATTTATAGTTTCTATCAAGGGAGCAGCAAAAGGTGAAGAAATTTGCAAAACCAGGAAAATAATCTCAATTCTGTGCTTCTCCAGTTCAAAATGGCAGGAGGCCATATGCAGGCACAGACTTTTTTTTTTTTCTTTTTAATGTTCAGTGTCCCCTTTCATCATCTGGTGGTTGGTTTGCTGCTCGTGACCCAAAGATATAAAATAAATCACTGATTACTTCTGCATTTCAACTTTGCTCTGACAAGAGAAAGATCCTACTTGAGGCAAGGTTATTTTCCTCATCGACAAAGAGCATGTATCACAAGTGCCATGTGACCAGAAAGGCCTTTAGTGATGCTGCGTAGTGAAGGAGTCCCTTTCAACCATGTTTCCTGTGATATATAAAGGACGTACAAACCAAGCCAGAATTCTAGAACAGAATGGATGAGCTGTGTTCTTTTGGCCAGCAATAATCAGATGCAATAACCAAAAGTGGGGTGTAGTGGTATTTCACACTCATCAAGATTTAACGAATGTAGTCTTTGCTTACTACACTACCCAAACCACCAGGCTGATGGCACGAATGTGCCTCCTGTACCACCGTCACTCAGCTTCAACACCACGACAGAGGGAGGTGATGGATGGCTCTCTGCTGGCCTGCACATTCTCATCAGCACTGGAGCTTACTTGTTGGGCACCAACAGGGCACCCAGCAGCATCCAATATGCGCCTGCAGTCATCAGGCCTGAAGCGAGGCATACCTTCCATCTACCGCACAGAGAATGAAGGCCATTCCTGTTGCAAGCAAAGCAGGAGCTAATAAAAAGCGCCAAGCATGAGTACAGATACCAGACCTCATGCTTGCACAATGTGTGGAAATAAAGAATTGTAATTACTGACAGAGTGCACAAGGGAAAAGGGAAATAGTTTCTTACAATAGAAAGAAGAGTAACTTTGTATCACAATTTAACAAAATTGAAGAGAAATTGAATTCAAGAACAAAGAGCCAAGAAAGCTGCTCCGGACAAAGCGGCCAGTGCCGTCAATGTGGAGGACAGGGATCAACACCCCGCCTTTGTTCCAGAGACCCCCCAGTTCCTAACTGGATAGGATGGGAGGGATGGCCAAACCCTGTCCACTGGAAATAAAGACGTGGTTTTTTTTTTTCTTGTTTTAAGCATTCATTTCACGTTTAAATGACTTGGGAAATTTAAGAGAAATCCAGTCTTGAGAAGCTTAATAATGCAGAATATAGACTTACAATTTCATGTGATTACTGAGTCCACGCCCCCACGGTACCTGAATTTCTTCATGTTCTGAACAGAAAGAGATCATGAAGAACCAGCATGCAGTGATATCAAGGAACAAGATCTAATGACTAGGATGAGGATGTGGTTTAAACATAAAATACAATCAAGGCAATGAATCAAAGGCAAATGAGTCTGGCAAGCTGGACGTCGGCCGAGGACTCATTTCAGAGAACCCAGCACTGAGTGTGTGGTTCCTGTCTTGGTAGGAGATCCTGCCAGGTTCATCATGGTTTTTGGTAAGAATGTCCATCCTGGGATCTGCACTATGTCTGAATAATAATAGCAACAATAGTAGTAACTTATAACAGCTATCACTTAGCATGCATGTCAAATGTTTCATATTATCTCATTTAATTCTCAAATAATCCTGTCAGACCAGTACAATCTTTATGCTCCTCTCACAAAAATACAGCAAAAGCTATGATACCATCTGGAGAATTCAAAGACCTCTGTTAAACTTGAACTGACACAAATGAGATCAACCCATTTGGGGTATTTAGAGCAACAAAAAAGCCAATCTAAATGTATTCCAAAACCTAGCAGATGTTTGTGACACCACTGACTTCCTTACTCCCCACGTCCAATCCACCACCAAATCCCGTTAATTCTACCTCTCAAGCAAGGCTTCTCAACTTCTTTAAAAGACTGAAAATTAATAAGATAAGCATCCAGTTTAAGAAAGTAGAAAAAGAAAAAGCCAAATAAAGTAGACAGAAACAATACAGATAAATGCAGAAATTTGCTAATATTTTTTAAAAAAATTAGATCAATAAAACCAAAAGGTGTTTCACTGGATGTTCTATAGGTTAGCAAGGTGATGTAGCTACCTTAGCCCAGCTTGACTGAGCTTTGGAGTGAGCTGGTGAATCAGCTGAGCCCTAATGGTCTCACTCATATGTCTGGTGGTTGCAGCTTGGGACCCCAGCTGAGATTGCTGGTCTCTGCTTCACCTGGTCTCTCATCCTCCAGCCTGGGCTTCTTTGCATGGTGGCCTCAGAGTTCCAAAGAGCATTCAGAGAGGGAAAAGCTTAAACGTCTAAGCACTTTACAAGCCTCTGCCTATGTCACATTTGCTGTCACACCATTGAACAAAGCAAGACACACAGTTAAATCCAGAGCCAGTATGGGTATGATAATGGGAGGCAGGAATATTACGGCAACCATCTGCCACACCCACACCAGGTAGCCGTACCACTGGTTCTGCCTCCCTGCATAGCTATTCAGAAGTGAGTTAAGATCTCTGACAGTCAGTTATGATCTCTGCCACCAGATCATAACTGTTGCTTGAGTCTAGCCACATTAGAATTAATCATGGTAGGTATTCTACAATGGAGAGTATGGAAAAACAAAATAAAACTAGAACTAGAATTTTTAACTTGCTGTAGCATTTTCAAGGAAGGGATGTTGAGTCCATTGAACAAGAGAAATTGGTCCCAAAAGTGAAAAATTCAAAGACTCATGGCTGCAAGACACAAATAAATCTGATACCTCTTTTTAAGGAAGGCTGTACTGGCTCCAACTCTGAAAACAAGGATGAGAGATACAATTATTTACCCTGGATGCTTTAGGTGTTAGTCCACTTCAGTGTCAAAGGGCTAAGCAAATACTTTCTCCTTGACCTTCAATCTATAGCAAAAGGAAGCCTAACCTTTTCAGGTAGAAATAGGTATGATTGCCACGTCAACCATGTCAATTGCTATATCAAAAGGGTGCTTTTGTTTGCCCTGCATATTAACTGGACTTTCCAACTTCAGTTCCAATTGTATATTAACATGTTATTGAAAACGACGCGTAGCTAACATAAAAACTTTTGTATCTATTCAAAGAGGAGGCTACTGAGGATCTAATTTCCTTTTACAAATACCAATGTTTAAGGTCAAGCACAAGCACAGAGCTCACAACTATTGGTATTCATTGATGATGTTCAATGAAGTCAATTTGGAAGGTGAATTTGAGGAATTTTACCAGGAGTTTTCATTCAACCTGAGTAATTCACCCATCTTTACTCATTACTTTATCAACTGTCTTGAGTCTAGATTTCTCCCCCCTAGTGCTGTCAAATACTGTATTAATGGACTTTATGTAGAACAACTGTGACATCAAGTGGCCAGCACACATCTATGTCTCCTGGCAGTCCCATCAAAATGGAATCCAGGTTCAATTTTCTGTACGTAGAAAACTAGGCAGATCCTTGAGTCACCATCAATGGTCTTCTCAACCAAGAAAGAGGGTAACATGATGTTAAAAGTTTTTCCCAAAAATTATTTCAATGGTCAAAAAAAAAAAAAAAACAAAAAGTCCGCTGTGCTCAAAGAAGCAGCTAATTTGGAACATAAATTTTTCTGGCAGATTTTACATCAGAAAGCTTTGAATTTAAATATAAAAAGCCAGGATTTGCTTTCTAGACAGAATGCAATTCTAAAACGTCATGCAAATTTCTTTTTGGAGGAACAAATGCAAACATTTTGAGAAGAGCTCTCAATATGCACATGGCTTTGGGGAAACCATGTGTGAAATACTATTTTGCCTGAGGCAAACTATCTCCCACATTTGTTAAGGAAGAAAATAATAGCCAATATTCTGTATGACTGTTGACGGTATGAATGGTTTTTATCTGCATGGTTCTACAATACATTGTCAGCTGCTTTTCTGGGAGTTCTGAAACATCATAGGATCCACAAACCGTGCACTAGACCATGTCTATTTTTAATATGTACCCTCAAGCACCTAGTATAGAACTAAGCATCCTAGGGACACTCAAATACTTATTCCCTAACTACCACGTTTACCAATACATCCTCCCCACAACCTCCTTCTGCTGCTTTCCATGTGCTGAGATGAAGAGGTCTTTCCTTTGTTTCCTTATTCCCTGATTTACACACACTCAATAATTTGCTACCTCCTCCCACATGTTGAAGTACTGGATTCATTGGTATTGCTTTCTGTTCCACTACCTCATTTTCTTGATTCCTTTTTTTCATTCTTTGGCAAATGCACAGGTAACAAAGGTATTAGACACTGGACACAGGCTGTCTAGCTGCCCTGTTCAACACAACCTCTGCAATGACCGAAACGCTTCACAGCTCCACTATCCAGCATGGCTGCCACCAGCTGCAGGTGGCTATCGAGCACCTGAAATGTGGCTAGGGTGACTGTTAGAGAAAGCAGTTAGGCAGACTTGAGCAGTGCAGGAGAGAGCCTCCCTCACCCCCAGGAACGTCAAGTGACCATCAGGAGATGGTCAGGCAGTTGTTAAGCTGTCTCTCTAAAATAATAATTGGTCACAGCCAGCAACAAGGAAAGGCAGTCTCCAGATAGATAGATAGATAGATAGATAGATAGATAGATAGATAGATAGACAGACAGAAAAAGAAAACACCTGAAGCTGCTGATCAGCAACCTCCAGATAAGATCTCAGGAGATGGGTGAGTGGGCTTAAGCATGCGCACTAAGAGGAAAAATGGCAGAGTTTAACTGGTATAAGATCTACCTCTAGGAACACTCAACTGGTCAGGGAAAAATGCCCCAAACGAACACGTACATGACCTGGGTAAACACACTGCGCATGCTCCCCTCCCACGTGCCAGCAGGCCCCTGTGTGTGCGAACAGTCCACCCAAAGGGAAGAATCAGAGGAGAAGAGATACAAACCTGGGGATCATGCCAATGTATAAAAATCCCAGCACTTTGGGAGGCCGAGGTGGGCGGATCACCTGAGGTCGGGAATTGGAGACAGCCTGAGCAACCTGGAGAAACCCTGTCTCTGCTAAAAATACAAAATTCTTTGGGCGTGGTGGTGCATTTCTGTAATCCCAGCTACTCAGGAGGCTGAGGCAGGAGAATCGCTTGTACCCGGGAGGCGGAGGTCGCGGTGAGCCGAGATTGCGCCACTGCACTCCAGCCTGGGCAACAAGAGCGAAAGTCCATCTCAAAAAAAACAAACCAACAAAAAAAAACACCCATGTCAAGTACTGAACAGCACACTTGGATCTCTCAAGTTGCCTGCCTGGCCCTCCTCCAAGTGTACATTACTTCCTTTTGTTCCTGCTCTAAAACTTTTTAATAAACTCTCACTCCTGCTCAAACTTGGCTTGATCTGTCACTCTGCCTTACACCCCTCGGACAAATTCTTTCCTTCAAGGAGGCAAGATTCGAGTTGCTACATATGGATTCGCTACTACCAACGTGACCAAGGAAATGATTTTTGAATTTCATTTCAACTTAATCAGCAAATTTAAACAGCCATATGTGGCTAATGGGACACCATACTGGACAGCACAAATTTATGGTTTCAGATTAAGAATTTCCAGAAGTTAACATTGATGGTAGCAAGAGTGCTAAATCGGAGACTCTGCTCTGCTTTTCTCTGTATGCCCCTGGGCTGGCCACTTAGCACCTGTGATACCAGCCTCCTCAGCCATAAAGTGGCAATAATAAAATATACTTACATGGTCATTGTGACGGTTCAAGAAATAAATTTTATAACATGGCCAGCATATAGCGACTGAGCAATAAAAATAGTGTCCTTTCCTTTTTTGTAAATCTACAAAATGAGACTCAGAAAAAGATGTTTTTCAGGGTAATCATCATAATCACATGAAATCATGAATATATTTATAAGCCACAAAGCATTAAATATGATGTATTGTTAATGTCCTTAGCTGGAAAAAAGTTTAATGTACATTTTTTATTTTTTTCAGTGACCATTATTGTCTTAAGTCTTTCTATTCTTTCTAGAATTTTGGCATCATCTTTAAACCCAAACGTTGTATTTCTTTCCGAATATTGTAGGGTGTCACCTTTCCCAGAGACGCCATGAACCCTGGTGTCTCCAGCCCTCCCCTGCATTCATTTGCACCTCCTCACATTCTGCTACTCTGACCTTCCTGTGAGTTTAAGCACCTACAAGTACTAGAACTTTCTCAGTCATGTAAAGAGATTCCATCTCATAACAATTCATTCAATGCCAAAGATGATGGCAGCAAGATTTCCTGGAACTCGTGTATTAGTGTACAAAAGATTAGCATAACATCTCCCCATTTATCCTAGTCTTCCATTATTGGAACACTAAGCATGTGGGAGTTATTTATATCCTACTGCTCAAGGTCATTTCCAAAGTCTGATTGCAAAAATTCAAAAAATTGCAACCTCAGGCATCAATGGGTTAATCCTCATATTTTCCATCTGCTGATTCAAATGTTTCCTCTATTCTTTTCTAAACTTTAGTTTTCTCGTGTGAAAGAAATGGAGCTTCTGAGGTGTACCTCTTAGAAGACGACTATAACAAGGGTATTTTTAAAGCAACTTGGGAAATGTGGAAAGACTTTTTTGCAAATGGGTCTGCGAACATATAAAGAAAAGCTTCATTCTGAATGTGGAAAATGCCCTGCCTAGGGCAGGGAATAAATATTCTAATTGTCTCATTCAGCTTATAGACACCATTGATGAAATGCAAAGTCCACTAAGGCAAAGAGAACTATAAAAGACAAAATATGAAACAAATATGGCAAAATGATAAGCTCTGAGAAATCTCATTTTAAAACATGAGTTTATGATCCCTTAAACATTTTGGCATATTAGAAGTATTTCACAATTAAAAAGTAGACAAATTTATAATGCATAGCTTCTCCCTATTCTCTCAGAGAGTTTGCTCTACATCATAAAGTAAAAAGAATCTTCATTCTTCATTTATTGCCTGGCAGTTTGAAAGGGAAGGGTGATTAAAAGTGGGCTGGATATTTCACACTTATTAGGATGGCATCAAAAGAATGGAAAACAACAAATGTTGGTGATGATGTAACAAGATTGGAACCCTTGTACATTGCAGATGGGAAGGTAAAATGGCACAGCCACTGTGGAAAACAGTAGTTCCCTACAAAGTTAAACGCAGAAATGCCATAGGATCCAGTAATTCTGCTTCTAGGTATATACCCAAAATAATTGAAAACAGGAACTCAAACAGATAATTTTATGCTAATGTTCATAGCAACATTATTCACAACAGCCAAAAGGTAGAAACAACCCAAATGTCCATCAACAATAAGTAAACAAAATGTGGCGTATACGTTCAATTATAACAGATCCTTGCCAGCATTTATTATTTTTTCGTCTTTCAGATTATAGCCATTCTGACTGGGGTGAGATGATTGTCTCGCTGAGGTTTTGATTTGCATTTCCCTGATGATGAGTAGAGTTGAGCATTTTGGGTGTTTGCGCGTCTTCTTTTGAGAAATGTCTGTTTAGATCCTTTGCCTATTTTAAATCATGTACATGTACTACAACATGGATAAAACTTGAAAACATTATGCTACGTGAAATAAGCCAGGCACAAAAGGATATTATACAATTCTAGGATCAGATACCTAGAACAGGCAAATTCGTAGAGATAGAAAATATAACAGTGGTTAACCAGGGGCAGAAGATGGGGAGAATGAGGAGTTACTGTTTAATGGGTGTGAAATTTTTGCTTGGAATGGTAGAAAAGCTGGATACTGGTTATGGTTGCCTAACATGATGAATATACTTATTGTCACAGAATTGTACCCTTAAAAACAGTTAACGGGCCGGGCGCGGTGGCTCATGCCTGTAATCCCAGCATTTTGAGAGGCCGAGGTTGGCGGATCACCCGAGGAATGGGAGTTCGAGACCAGCCTGACAAACATGGAGAAACCCCGTCTCTACTAAAAATACAAAATTAGCTGGGCGCGGTGGCGCATGCCTGTAATCCCAGCTACTCAGGAGGCTGAGGCAGGAGAATTACTTGAACCCAGGAGGTAGAGGTTGTGGTGAGCCGAGATTGCGCCATTGCACTCTAGGCTGGGCAAAGAGAGCAAAACTCCAACTCAAAAAAAAAAAAAAAAAAAAAAAAAACACACACACACAACAGTTAACATTGTACATTTTTTGTTAGCTATATTTTACCACGATTTTTAAAAATCAACACTCAGGAAGGAAAAAAAGAACTGAGAGAGAGGCCTCTCTCCCTCTTTGGGAACCCTGGAATGGAGAAAAGAAAAAAATACAAATGAAGGAATTGATAAAGAAAGAGACAGTGAGCAGCAGCAAGCCAGCAACATAGCTGGGCTTATGGTGAAAAAGCTGGTGACAAATCCTCAGGCAATCTGGGAACATTTATAAAGAGTGAATGTTAGTCTAGAATTCCAACTATTCCTCACTGTGCAATGTAATCACTCTCCCTGACCCTCAAACCTTGACTAAGTCTGCCACACACAGCAGCCATGTTTTTCTGGTGATGTAGAATGAAAGGAGAGAAACAATGTCTGGCAAATAAGCAAAGTGGAGGTAGGAAAAGGGTAGAAACTAGACTGAGGTGCCCCGGAAATTTTGAGAATTAACACTGAGTGTAAGACCTCAAAAATCCTCAGAAAACTTGAATGGACATGTATTAGTCCATTTTCATGCTGCTGATAAAGACATACCTGAGACCAGGCAATTTACAAAAGAAAGAGGTTGAATTGGACTTACAGTTCCACGTGACTGGGGAAGACTCACAATCATGGTGGAAGACAAGGAGAAGCAAGTCATGTCTTACATGGATGGCAGGAAGCATACAGAAAGTTTGTGCAGGGAACTCCCATTTTTAAAACCATCAGATCCCGTGAGGCTCATTCACTACCACGAGGAGAGCACAGGAAAGACCTGCCTCCATAATTTAATTACCTCCCACTGGCCCCCTCCTACAACATATGGAAATTCAAGATGAGATTTGGATGGGGACACAGCCAAACCATATCAGGGCATAAGATTTTAAACAGACACAAATTAAGATTTAAGTACAATTCCACGCAACAAGACAATGACAGAAGAGTAGGACAGAGTGACGCAGGTGTCTGGGAAGTCCAGGCAATGAGTAAACATCAAAACATCCACACAAGATGAGTGGAATAAAGCAGAGACAGTAGCAGATTCAAGGCACTCAAAATTGAGGGAATTTGCCCATTCTCATATAAAATGGATTAGAAATGATCAATCTCAACCTCAAGGCAAGAGTTATGCCCAAAGTAGAAAACAGGCAAACAGGAGATTCTAGCTGAGGTGAAAAATACTTTTTAAGATAAAGTCACCCATTTGGCAGGAAGATCTCAGCCACTAGATCCCTGTGCTAAGATATGGGCCTTGGAAACAGAGACCTTGGTGGAGAATCATTGAAAGGAAGCGGATAGTTCTATGATACAAGCAAGTTGCCAGAGCAGCAAAAAGTTTAATAGAAAGAACCAAAGAAGAGAATAGGTCTCTTAGGATCACATCAGCTCTGGGGAATGGGAAGATTATGTGCATGCCCTAGGCTACGTCAGCTCAGGGGCAATCAGAGACAGGCAGGAGGCAGACTTGAAAGTACTCTCCAAAATGCATACAGACCCATCAGCTAGGGAGGGAGTCTCACTAGCACATGGGCTTAAACACAACCTTTGACCAAACACTGAATGAACAATCATCTACTGTAAACCAGGGCAATCCTAAGTAGCCAGGCTAAAGGACTTTTTTTTTAAGGGGTGAGGAAAGGTGAGTCTTAGCAAGGCCATCAGAGAATACACACTACAAGAGAAATAGACTTTGCAGAATTATTTCAGCAAAGTCACTAAACAAATTTTAAAAACGACCAAGTAAACAACAGCAAGAACCCCCAAGAAAAGGTGTCAATATCCAGATTTGCTCCATTATCTGATCTTCTCCCAAAAATTATGAAACATGCAAAGAAACAAGGAAGTGTGATCCATACACAGGGGGAGAAAATCAGTAAATAAAAATTGCTTTCAAGTGCCCCAGATTGTAGACTATGCAGACAAAGACTTCAAAACAGCTATTATGAATATGTTTGAAAATTACAGGAAACCAGTCTTAAAGAATTGTAAGGTAAGATGACAATGACTCATAAAATGGAGACTATCAATAAAGAGATAAAAACCATTACAAAGAATCAAGTGGAAATTCTGGAATTGAAAAACACAATAATCAAAATGAAATAATTACTAGGGGGGCTCGAGAGGGGCTGGAAGAAGAAAAAATGTGCAAACTAGAAGAGATATTAATAGAGATTATGCAATGTGATACGCAGAGGAAAAAAACGAATAAAAATAAGAACTTCAGAGAAATGTAGGATACCACTAAGTGCACCAATATACACGTCATGGACTACCAGAAGGAGAGTTGTGAGAGAGGAGAACAGAAAAAATATTTGAAGAAATAATAGCTGAAAATTTCTCACATTTTGTTCTGATTTTTTTCATTTTTAGGTGACATATAAAACTTGTATATATTTATGAGATTCAGAATGATGTACCAATACATGTATACAATGTATAATGAACGAATCAGGGTAATTAGCATATCACATCAAACATTTATCATTTCCGTTATGAACATTCAAGTCTCTCTTCTAGCTTTCTGGAAATATATGTTAAATTATTGTTAGTCATACTCACCTTACAGTGCCACAGAACCCTTGAACTTATTCCTTCTTTCTACCTGTAACTTGTATCCATTATCCAACCTTTCTCTATTCTCTCCTCCCCCAACCCTTCCCAACCTCAAATAACCACAATTCTATGCTATACCTCTATGAGCTCAATTTTCTTTTAGCTCCCACTTATGAGAGCATGCAGTATTTATCTTTATGACTTATTTCACTAAACATAATGTCCTCCACTTTCATCTATGTTGCCACAAATGACAAGATTTCATTGTTTTTTATGGCTGAAGAGTATTCTGTTGTATATATATATGCCACATTTTCTTTATCCATTAATCTGTTGATAGAAATTTAGGTTGATTCCATATCTTGACTATTATGAATAGTGCTACAATAAACACAGGGGTGCAACTGTCCCTTTGCTACACTGATTTCCTTTCTTTTGGATAAACACCCAGTAGTGAGATTGCTAAATTTTATGGTAGTTCTATTTTTAGTTTTTTGAGATACCTGTATGCTGTTTTCCACAATGGCTGTACTAATTTACATTCTGACCAACAGTATGTAAGACTTTCCTTTTCTCCACATCCTTGCCAGCATTTGTTATTTTTTGGTCTTTCAGGTAATAGCCATTGTAACTGGGGTGAGATGATTATCTCGTTGAGGTTTTCATTTGCATTTCCCTGCTGATGAGTAGAGTTGAGCATTTTGGGTGTTGCATGTCTTCTTTTGAGAAATGTCTATTTAGATCCTTTGCACATTTTAAATCAAATTATTTAGAAAACTTCTCAAATTTGACAAAAAAACACATTAACCTACACACAAAGAATCTCAACCAACTCTAAGTAGGAACAACTTAAAGAGGTCCAAGCCAGACATATAATCAAAATATTGAAACCCAAAGATTAAAAAAAAATATTGAAAGCACAAGAGAAAAACAACTCCTCATGAACAAGGGAATCTTAAAATGATAACGCCTGACTTCTCATGAGAAACAGTGGAGGCAGAAGGCAATAAGATGACATTCAAGTTACTAAAAGTATAAACTGTCAACCAAGAATCTTATAACCAGCAAAACTATACTTTAAAAATGAAGATAAGAGATATTCCCAGATGAACAAAAACTGAAATAATTTGCTGCCAGTAGACCTGCCATACAAGGAATACTGAAAGAAGTTCTTCAGGCTGAAAGCCAATGACTGACGTCAGACAGAAATTCAAAATTACAAAAAAATTGAATGCCAGTAGAGGTAACTATGTAGGTAATTGCAAAAGACAATATAATTCCATCTTTCTTGTCTTAACTGATTTTAAAAGCAACTGCAAGTAGTAAATATATAATTGTATTGTTGGTCCTGTAACATAAAAATAACAGCACAAAGGAGGCAGGTAGGAAGACTTTATATTGGAGTAAGAAAATAGTATCAGATGGTAAATGAAGTCTACATTACAAAGTAAAGAGAAGCAGAAGGAGTAAATCAAAAAAATTAACATAACAAGCTCTATAAACATAATCTTGCCATCCCTCCTTCTCTCAGTTTCTTTAAAGGAGATACAATGTAGTGTTGGGTTAATAAAATGTATAGATTTAATATGTATAATAATAGCACAAAAAGGAGGAGAACATGTTCCAAATTAGGAAAAGTTTTTAGAGTTCATTGAAACAAAGTCAGAATAAATCTGAAGTAGATTCTGATAAGATGTATAATTATAAACCATATAGTATATACAAAATAACCCAAAAAACAGAATTTGAGTCTTTAATGGAATTAAGATGTTACACTAGAAAATATCTAATAGTTAAAAAGAACACGTGGAGGAGTACAGAAAAAAACACATGAAACATATAGAAAAACAAAAAAGCAAAATGGTAGATGTAATTTCAATGATCCAAACAGACTGAAGCAAGATAACAGAAAAAGACACATCATACAAACAACAACAATAAAAGAGATGCAATATGGAATAGCTACCTTAATATCAGATCAAACTGACTTTAAAAACAAAAAAGCTACTGCAGATAAATAGGGATATTTTATGGAGATAAAAGGGCCCAGCCATCAGGAATATGTAGCAATAATAAACATGTGTGCTTAACAACAAAGCCCCAAAATACACGAAGCAGTCTTCAGTTTTACAAAATAAAGGGAAAAATGGACAGTTCAATAACAATAAAGGGAATCTTTAAAATCTCATTTTCATTTATGCATAGAAGATCTACAAGGAGATAAATATTTGAACAACACTATAAACCACCTAACAGACTCCTATGAACACTCTACCCAATAGCAGCCAAATTCATATTCTTCTCAAGTACACATGAAACATTCTCCAAGATAAACCATATGCTAGGCCATAAAATGAATCTCAATACATTTTAAAATATTGCAATTATACAAAGTATGTTCTCTGACCATAATGGAATTAGATTAAATCAATAACAAAGAAATTTGGAAAATTCAAAATATATGGACATTAAACAGCATGTTCCTAAATAGCCAATAGGCTAAAGAAGAAATCACAAAGAAAATTAGAAACTACTTTGAAAGAAATGAAAACAAAGGCACAACATACCAAAATTTATAGGATGCTGTTAAAGCAGTACTCAGAAAGAAATTTATAGATGTAACTACTCATATTATAAAATAAGATAGATCTCAAATCAATAACCTAGGCTTCAATTTAAGAAACCAAAAAAGAAGAGCAAACTACTTTGGGAGGCCGAGGCAGGTGGATCATCTGAGGTCGGAAGTTTGAGACCAGACTGCCCAACACGAAGAAACTCCATCTCTAATAAAAATACAAAAATTAGCCGGATGTGGTGGTGGGCACCTGTAATCCCAGCTACTCAGGAGGCTGAGGCAGGAGAATGGCTTGAACCCGGGAGGCAGAGCTTGCAGTGAGCCGAGACCATGCCATTGCACTCCAGCCTGGGCAACAGAAAGAAACTCCGTTTCCAAAAAAAAAAAAAAAAAAGAGCAAACTAAACTAAAACCTAGTAAATAAGTGGATAAAATAATGAAGACTAGACTAGAGACAAAGAATAAAATAATAGAGAAAATCAAGACAGCCAAAAATTGTTTATTTGAAAAGATTTAAAAAATTAACATTTAGCTAGACTTGTCAAGAAAAAAAAGAAGACACAAATTATTAAGATCAGAATGACAGAAGGGATGTTGCTACCCATCTTAAATAATTTTTTCTTTGTTTTAGGGGAATACTATGAACAGCTGTATGCCAAAAGTTAGGTAATTTAGAGAAGAGGGGAAAAGTCATAGAAGGACACCAATTACCTAAACTGATTGAAAAAAAGATAGAAAATCTGAATAGACCTATAGAAAGTAGAGATCAAATTAGCAATCTTACAACTTCCCACAAGTAAGGCCCAGGCCCACATGGTTTTACTGATGAATTCTACCAAACACTCAAGAAAGATTTAGTACTTATTCTTTCACAAACTCTTCAAAAAAGAGGAGGGAACACATTTTCACCAATTGTATGAGGCCAGTGTTACCCTGACACCAAAACAAAAGACATAACAAGAAAACAAACCACAGACCAACATCCCCTATGACTACAGACACAAAAATCCTCAACAAAATACAGGTGGCCCTCCATATCCATGGGTTCAGCATCCATGGATTCAACCAATTGCAGATCAAAAATATCCCAAAAAATTTAAACTAATAACACAACAATAAAAAATATATAAATTAGGCCAGGTGCAATGGCTCATGCCTATAATCCCAACACTTTGGGAGATCAAGGTGGGCAGATTGCTTAAGCCCAGGAGTTTGAGACCAGCCTGGGCAACATGGCAAAACCCCATATCTACAAAAAAAAAAAAAAAAAAAAAAAAAAAAAAAACCTCACAAAAATTAGCCAGGCATGGTGGCATATGCCTGTAGCCCCAGCTACTTGGAAGGTTAAGGTAGGAAGGTCACCTGAGCCCTCTGGGGAGGTCAAAGATGCAGTGAGTCAGCCTGGGTGATGGTGAACTACCTCAGGCTGGGTAATTTAAAAGAAAAGAGGTTTAATTGGCTCATAGTTCAGCAGACCTTACAGGTTCTGTGGGGAGGGCTCAGGAAAGTCACAATCATGGCAGAAGGCAAAGGGGAAGCAGGCAACATCTTAGATGCCAGAGCAAGAGGAAGAGAGCAAAGAGGGAGGTGCTACACACTTTGAAACAAACAGATCTCATGATAACTCACTATCACAAGAACAGCAAGGGGGAAATCTGCCTCCATGATCCAATCACCTCCCACCAGGCCTCTTCTCAATACTGGGGATTACAGTTCAACATGAGATTTGGTTGGGGACACAAATCCAAACCATGTCAGCATCTGACGAAGGACCAATATCCAGAATCTATAAGAAACTTAAATAACTCAACAAGCAAAAAACAAATAACCCTATTAAAAAAGTAGGCAAAAGACATGAATAGACACTTCTTAAAAGAAGACATGTAAGTGGCCAACAAACATATAAAAAAATGCTCACATCACCAATCATTAGAGAAAAGCAAATCAAAACCACAATGAGATAGCACCTCACACCAGTCAGAATGGCTATTATTAAAAAGTCAAAAAATTACAGGTGCTGGTAAGGTTGCAGAGAAAAGGGAACACTTATACACTGCTGGTAGGAGTTCAGCCATTGTGGAAAGCAATCTGAAGATTTCTCAAAGAATTTAAAACTGAATTACCATTCAGCCCAGCAATCCCATCACTGGGTATATACCCAAAGGAAAATAAATCCTTCTACAAAAAATACACATGCACTCCTATGTTCATCACAGCACTATTGACAATAGCAAAGACATGGAATCAACCTAAATACCCATCAGTGGTAGATTAGGTAAAAAAAAAAAAAAAAAAAAAAAAAAAAAACGTGGTATATAAATACCACAGCCGTAAAAAAAGAATGAAATTATGTCCTTTGCAGCAACATGAATGCAGCTGGAGGCCATCAGCCTAAGTGAATTAATGCAGGAACAGAAAACAAAATATTGTATGTTCTCACTTACAAGTGGGAACTAAACATTGGGTACACATGGAGATGAAGATGGGAAAAACAGACACTGGGACTACTGGCGGGGGATATGGTGAGAGAATCAAGGGTTATAAAACTACCTGCTCACTACCTGAATGACAGAATCATTCATACCCAAACCTCAGCATCGTGCAATATACCCATGTAACAAACATGCATATGTACTCCCTGAATCTAAAAGTTGAAATTGTTAAAAAATTAAATAAAGTATACAGAAGGAGGCATGTAGGCTATATGCAAATAATATACCATTTTATATAAGGATCTTGAGCATCTGCAGATGTTGGTATCCATGGGGAGTCCTAAAATAAATCCTCCACAGATGCTGACAGACAACTGTACTGGCAAATCTATTAGGTTGGTGCAAAAGAAACTGAGGTTTTTTCCATAATAATTCAGCAACATATAAAAAGAAATATACACTGCCAGGCACGGTGGCTCACTCCTGTAATCCCAGCACTTTAGGAGGCCGAGGCGGGTGGATCACAAGGTCAGGAGATCAAGACCATCCTGGCTAACACAGTGAAACCGTGTCTCTACTAAAAATACAAAATATTAGCCGGGCGTGGTGGCGGGAGCCTGTAGTCCCAGCACTCAGGTGGCTGAGGCAGGAGAATGGCGTGAACCCGGGAGGCAGAGCTTGCAGCGAGCCGAGATTGCGCCACTGCACTCCACTCCAGCCAGGGCGACAGAGTGAGACTCCGTCTCAAAAAAAAAAAAACAAAAAGAAAAGAAATATATACTATAACCAAGTGGAATTTACCCTAGGAATACAAGGTTGTTTTAACATCTAAAAAATCAATTAACGTAATATACTACATTATCAGAATAAAGGGCAAACATAATCATCTCAATAACAGATGCAGAAAAGCATTTGACAAAGTCCAACACCGTTTCATGATAAGAACAAACTAGGATTAGAGGGAGTTTATTCAACCTGATAAAGGTCATCTACAAAAAATCCACAGCTGATATTGTACTTAACGGTAAAAGGCCAAATGTTTTTCCTATAAAATTGGAAACAAGACAAGGATATCTGCTCTCTCCACTTCTATTCAACATTGTACTGGGTGCTCTAGCCAGAGCAATTAGGCAAGAAAAGAAATAAAGGGCATTGTAGATTGAAAAGGAAGAGATAAAACAATGTGCAGATGACATAATCTTATATATAGAAAATCCTATGAAATACACTAAAAATTATTAGCATTAATAAACAAGTTCAACAAGGTTGCAGGGTACAAGGCCAATATTAAAAAACCAATTGTATTTCCGTACATTTGAAATGAATGTTGCAAAAATTAAATTAAGAAAATAATTCCATTTACAATAGTATCAAAAGAATAAAATACTTAGGAATCAATTTAACAGAAGAAATGTAAAACTCGCTGGGCGTGGTGGCTCACGCCTGTAATCCCAGCACTTTGGGAGGCTGAGGCAGGCAGATCATGAAGTCAGGAGATCGATACCATCCTGGCTAACACGGTGAAACCCCGTCTCTACTAAAAATACAAAACAAATTAGCCAGGCGTGGTGGGAGGCGCCTGTAGTCCCAGCTACTCGGGAGGCTGAAGCAGGAGAATGGCTTGAACCCAGGAGGCAGAGTTTGCAGTGAGCTGAGATCACGCCACTGCACTCCAGCCTCGGCGACAGAGCAAGACTCCGTCTCAAAAAAAAAAGAAAAAGAAAAAAAATGTAAAACTCATAGACTGCAAACTAGAAAACACTGCTAAAAGAAATATATTTTTCTTCATCTTTAAGAGACATGGTCTCACTCTGACACCCAGGCTAGAGTGCAGTGGCATGATCATGGCTCACTGCAGCCTTGACCTCCCAGGATCAAGAGATCCTCCCACTTCAGCCTCTCAAGTGGCTGGGATGACAGGCACATGTACCCATGCCCAGCTAATTCTGAAACAGAAAATTTCCCTTGACCCCTTTGTGGGCCTCGTGACAGGGGTGCCTTACTTACTCAGCCTGCAGCTCTCAACCCCTCACAGGAGGGGGAGCAGGCAGGTGAGCAGGTGCAGGAGTCAGAGTGAGCACTTTCGGGCACTGATGGGAGAAAAACTTCGTGCAGGTCCCACGGCAGCATCTAAGGGGGAGTACCCATGACCCTGGAAGTCCCAGAGGGCATGTGTTACAGTGCTCATTTAGTTTTGCTGTCCACAGATGGCTTAAGTGTTTAATAGCTCAGTGGACGGACCTTCTGCCTTTTTGTGAGGGCAGAAGGTCAGTGTGACAGATTTCTGTATCCTGAGCTTTCTGTATCCCAAGCTCTTGTCCAACATCCAGGAAAAAATCAGGATACACAAACAAATTGAAGTGTAGTGAATGTGGAGGATTTCATTGCCAATGGAAGTGGCTCTCAGCAAGAAGGGGAGTTGGAAAGGGGAGGGAGCCGGAAGCTATTCTTTCCCTGAAGTCTCACCATCAAGCCATTCCTCTGAAATCAAACTGCTTATCTTCAACGTTCAGCTGCTACTTCTCTTCTCCCCTTCTCTGCTCTCTGGCAGTGAAGCCCGGGGGTTTTATGGGTATGGGAAGGGGAGCAGGGTGGGCCAGGGTGGTTTTGGAAAAGGGAACATTCGGGTAGGAAAATGGGGATGTAAAGTTCTCACCTTGGGCTGCAGTTCTAGACTGGAGGATGGGGCTTTGCCACAGACCCTGACTTTTCTGCCTAGAATTTCCCTACCGCCTGTCCCTATCGATTTTTCTTTTCTAGAGCTACGTTGCCCAGGCTGGTCTTGAACTCCTGGCCTCAGGCAGTCCCCCCCACCACAGCCTCACAAAGTGCTAGAATTACAGGCATGAGCCACTGTGCCCAGCTCCCAGAAATGTTTTAAAACCTAATGAAATGATATTCCATGTTCATGCATTGAACAATACTGTTAAGATGGCAATGTTAACCAAATTAATGTACAGATTCAACACGATCCATATCAAAATCTCAGCTGGCTTTTCATAGAAATTGATGAGTTGATCCTAAAATTCCTATGCAAAAGCAAGGGATCCAAAATTGTGAAAACAATTTTGGAAAAGAAAAAGTTCCTACTTTTTGTTACCTATCCACTTCCTAATTTTTTGCCTACCCACTTCCTAATTTCAAAACTTACAATGTTCTAGTAATCAAGATATTGTGATACTGATAGAAAGGTAGATATGTAGATTAGTGGAATAAAACTGAGCATTTAGAGATAAACCCTGACATTTATGGTCAATTGACTTTTGACAAGTGTCAAAACAATTCAGTGAGGAAAGAATGATCCTTTCAATAAATGCCGCTGGGACAATTAGCCACACAAAAACATTCAGAAAGGGGCTGAGTGTGGTGGCTCACACCTGTAATCCCAGCACTTTGGGAGGCCAAGGCAGGTAGATCACCTGAGGTCGGGAGTTTAAGACTAGCCTGACCAACATGGAGAAACCCCATCTCTACTAAAGACACAAGATTAGCCGGGTGTGGTGGTGCATGCCTGTAATCTCAGATACTTGGGAGGCTGAGGCAAGAGAATGGCTTGAACCTGGGAAGTGGAGGTTGTGGTGAGCCGAGATCACACCATTGCACTCCAGCCTGGGCAACAAGAGCGAAACTCCATCTCAAAAAAAAAAATCAGAAAGGATCATAGACCTAAATGTAAGAACTAAAAGTATTGAAGGAAAAAAAAAAAACCTCTTAGAAGAAAACACAAAGAGTAAAGTTTCATGATCTTGGATTGGGCAAAATTTTCTTGGATACAAGAAGAAAAGCACAAGTAATAAATTTTTTATCCAGCCTATATAAAGAACTGTTGCAACTCAATAATTGAAAGGCAGCCCAATTTTTAAAATGGGCAGGGGATCTGAATAGACATTTCTCTAATGAAGGTATACAAATGGTCAATAAACACATTAAATAATGCTCACCATCATTAAGGGAAATGCTAATCAAAACCAAAATTAGAGACCATTTTACCCCCTCTAGGATGGCTATAATCAAAATGACAATAGTAAGTGTTGGTGACCATGTGGAAAAATTGGTGCCCTCACACCTTGCTAGGGAGACTATGAAATGGTGCCCCTACATTGGAGAACAGTTTTGCAGTTCCTCAAAGGTTATCACACAGAGTTACCAAATGATCCTGAAATTCTACTCCTAGGTATGTATTCAAGAGAAATGAAACATTTCTATTATTCTCTCAAACTGTGCCTCAGAACTTGTTAGTTCATGGTCACAAAATGGCCACCTCATTTCTTGACATCACTTCCATATTCCAGGATAGAAGAAGGTAAACGTAAAAGAACAAACTTCAAAAGGTGCTTACTAGTTAGGTAGGCCACTTTTCTTTTCCAGAAAAGCAAGAGGTTTACCAGCAACTTCAGTGTGTTCAGTGAGTAGAATGTCTGTCATGTGGCCATGCTTGGATAAAGATGACTACGGAAAAGAGGGTGTGGGTTCAGATTGGGGCAAAACATCCAGCACTGTCTGCCACCGTAACTCATGTATGCATCGCTTTATTTAGCACTGTCTTATACAGATTACTTCTCCACTGGACCTTACAAATTTATATAGAGTTAGGCTTTGATGACAACCATGTGTGGGGTAGGGTTTTAGATATCATCTGGTCTAATATGCCCCACCTCATTATGGGCAAGGCGTCATTCACATTTCACTCGAATAACTTTATAAATCACCATTTCATTGGGTAGTCCATCCTGGCCATAGACAGCTACCATTACAAAAGTCCCTTTTTTTTTTGAGATGGAGTCTCACTCTGTTGCCCAGGCTGGAGTGCAGTGGCACAATCTCGGCTCATTGCAACCTCCACCTCCCGGATTCAAGTGGATTCTCCTGCCTCACCCTCCCAAATAGCTGGGACTATAGGCATGTGCCACCATGCCCAGCTAATTTTTTGTATTTTTATCAGAGACGAGGTTTCACCATGTTAGCCAGGATGGTCTCGATCTCCTGACCTCGTGATCTACCCACCTTGGCCTCCCAAAGTGCTGGGATTACAGGCTTGAGCCAGTGCGCCTGGCCAAAAGTCCCTCTTTAAGCTGTATCCAGGCTATATCCACGTGGGTTCATTTATCAATAATATTAGTAGTTACAGGGCCAGAGTAATTAAGATATAGTACTATCTCATTTAAACCTTGGACCAGCTATTTAAACTGATAAGCAGGCATCATTCTTCTCATCTACCCAAGTGGGAACCTGAGCCTCAGCAAATTTCAGAGACTTTAATCCAGATTGTGCAATACTGACTCTAGGCCAATTTCTTACTATGAGACAGCACTTCACATATTTTAAACAGGGGTTCTTAAGTTGGGGTTCACAAACAACCCATGGATCAGTTTCAGATGGTCCATGAAGCTCTGAAAATGCTATTCAATATTACATATGTGAGCCTGTTTTTATAGAGAAGGTCTAAAAGAATCTGTGACTGACCAAAGAGTTAACAATTGACTGAAAGATGATGATAAAGCACGTCTTCCTGGAGTTTTTACTTCCCCAGATGAAACATCTCCACTTCCTCCAGTTATACCTCATGATTTCCCCTACCCTACCCCACTCAGATGTGTCCTTCCCCATTGTATCAAGGGACAGTCACCTGAAAGTCATGCTTGATTCCTTGCCATCCCACACCCTACCTGCATTTTAACACAGAAGCTGCCAATTTTTCTTTTCAGTATATATGAATTCACATGTATTTCTTCATCTCAGCTACCATGACCATTTCCAGCCTGGGCTCATGTAGTCTCTTAATCACCCCCATTCCTGGCTCACCTTTCTTCAGCCATTCTTCATGTGAGAGCCAAGAACAGTCTTTCTAAAATGTCTAGCAGATCATGTCACTGCCTTGCTTGAAAACCCTCAGTGGCTTCCCATGACACTGAGTAAATTTCAACCTCCACTTCAAACCTTGAGTGGTATGACCCAAGCCTTCCTCTGTGATGCTACCTCAGTCTCCCTTCTCCCCTCCTTTATTGCATTAGAGTGACAGCAGCCTGCCACTAGGGCATGCCAAATTTCTTCCCATCTTAGGACTGTTACACTCTTCCAGAATGCTCTTCAACCTATTTTTCCCATCCTTCCGCCCTCAGTTTAAATATTATTTCCTTCTAGATATTGCCTCTGACACAGTCTAAATTAGGACCCATTCACCCCACCTGTATATCACAGCTCCGTCATGAGTTTTCATTAGCTAGATAGATAGCTTGTGTGTGTGCTTGTTTAACGATTTCATTTTCTCCTTTAGACTGTAAGCTCCATGAGGGTAGTTTTCATATTTGTCTTTTACCACTGTATTTTCAGTGGTTGGTAGTGTTTGGTGGATGATAAATATTCAGAACGTCACTGGAGGAAGAGTTGGTTTCAAGTCCTCTCACCATCCTGGACATACGCTAATTTGAAATATACAACTTAAAATGTGGTCTCCCATACTAAACTCAAATTTGCAGGTGTATTCTATTTCAGAGAGGTCTAGGCATGCCACATTTACCTAATTCTTTTCTCTTCTCCAGGATCAGAATAGTCCACTTCATGAACCTAAACAAATGATCTAATAAGGTCTGTAGCTGTCTGTCTCTGCCATTGATAGATGTGACCATTCACGTATACAGCTACTATAGTCTCAATGTCTGTGTCCCTGTCAAACTCATATGTTGAAATCCTAACCTCCAAGAGGATGAAGTCAGGAGGTGGGGTCTCTGGGAGGTGATTAGGTCATAAGGGGGAGCCCTCATGAATGGAATTAGTGCCCTCATAAAAGAGGCCTGATAGAAACCCCTCACCCTTTCTACCAGGTGAGGACAGAGCAGGATGGCACCACCTATGAGGAAGCAGACCCTCACTAGACACCAAATCTGCCTTGATCTTGGATCCTCAGCTTCCAGAACCCTAAGAAATAAGCCTCCATGGTTTAGAAGCTACCCAGTTTATGGCATTTTGTTATAGCAGCCCCAATGGACTAAGATAACAGCAAATCACAAATTAAAGAAGGATTCTGAATAAAATACCAGCACCAACACAAGTCTCTGGCTCAAAAATCAGCACTCTTTATGCTGCCTCGCTGAAGTCAGGTGAAATGTCCTCAATTAAACTTTAAGATATGAATAAAGTATTTCAATATCTTAGCCATGGGTATGTGTACAATGAAGAACTCTGTTTCTATGATCTGCCTCCAAAACACATGGATGGCTCATCCCATCCATGTTTCCCCTTCTTTCTCCGTGCTGCAAAGCACAAAGGCACCAAGAGTCCCCAGTATCCAGGCTGGAAACACAGATTCAGCTTATTTTCTGAGTGACAGGGGTTCTCTGATTCAGATATGGAAACAAGCTAGAGCTGGAAGAGGCTGCTGAGAAATCGACTTGCCATCTCAGCTTTGTGAGATAAGCAAAACACAAAATCAAACCAGTCTGCTGAAATTATTACCATCTCCACACTCACCAACAATGATGTGGTAGATGGCAGGGGAGTATTCATCACCTGAAAATATCTAATCACAGTAGAGACCTTTCATATTATCATTAAAATTCTTAACTGCCCCCAGCCTGATTTCTTTTAGGCAAAGGTCCACAGGCCTTATACATTTCATGGTTATTTTCTCTGGTTATGGAGGCTGTACTTTTTCTAGTGTCTCATTTTTGTCCTCCTCCTCCTTTCATTCTTTCAGTTCAAATGGACACAACCTGGTTCCTATCACCTAGAGATGTATTAACCTTTCCAAATCCTGACATTGACTTCCTAGAAAAGTTCCCTGGAGCTCTGTAGCTGTTGGGGAAGAGAGGCAGCTTGGTTTTGACTTTAATATACATTTCGAAATACCTTTTGCAGGACGGCTGGAAATAAGGAACTAATAACAAAGCACTTCTAAAATTACCGGTACATCTGAAGCATTCCACCTGGTGCACAGCCTTTGAGAGTCTTTAATTCATCAATTAAGTGATCAAAGATCTTGTTCAAGATACGATTACATTTCTTTGGTTCTGTTTGCGCAATCGTACTAAAATTGATAGCATTCTGAAAATCAACCGGGTTCCAAAGCTAAAAATAAAAACAGACAAAATGACATCCAAACATTCATCACTTTCCAAAAGCAAGGCTATGATTAGTCCTTAACTATCCTGGAATATGACTGCTAGGACAAACCATTCCACAATGATGATGTCAAAGGAGGAACTTGAAGCTTCCACCCTCTTTAAAGCAGCTACTATGCATTTACGTTGTAGCCAGGCCCTTTCAGAACTAGGATGTGGCTAAGAGGCTAGACAGAGAAGTCCTGGCTGCTGGCCAAAGCCAACTCCAAGAGCAAATAATTTCAGTAATATAGAATAGAGGTCTTTGAGTGACTGCCGATGACCTTTGTCACGTACACAGGATTAGTCTTCCTTATACCACTAAAATCAAAACAATGCCGTGGCCCAAGAATCAGAAGGAAATGTTTCTTAAGTTACCACAATTCTTCTTAATCCTTGTTTCCCAAGGGCCAGTTATTATGATTGCATTTTGTCTGAATAATCTTGATCATCTAAAAGAGGAGTTAGTAAACTATGTCTGTAAAAGTTAAGATAACAAAGAAACTGTGGGCCCCTCAGTCTCTTTTGCAACCACCGCATTCTGCAATCGTTTCATGAAAACAACTATAGATGACATGTCAATGAAGGGGCATGGCTGTGTTCCAATAAAACTTTATTCACAAAAATAGGCACTGGTCCAAATTTGGCCCGTAGTCAGTAGTTTGCTGGTCCCTGCTCTGTAACATGGTCATGACTGTAATCCACACTTGGAAAGTTTAGTCTACATCACTAAGTTTGCATGGACTTCAAGAGCATTCTTCTTCTTGTGCTGGGTAGTTTGAAGGAGGATGCTTGCTGAGTGTGATGGTTTTGGGACAAAAATAGATTTGGTCTGATAGGGGGAGAAGTTACTGAGCCACCAGTGTAACTTCGTATGATTTCCCCTTCAAAAAGTTCATTTTACTCTCCAAATTTTTAGGCAACATTGTTTCTTTTTAAAGAACATGAGATTTCACATTGCATCCCAGTTATTTACTACCTGAGTTTTGGTCTTAACAAATAGGATTTTGTTATTCTCTGTCATCAACGGAGCAAGCACATGTGGTTTTGATTGACAAAATTGTGATAAAATTCACTGTATCCTTAAAAAAAAGTGATTGAAAAAATTTCAGACTGCTGCAGAAAATGTAGGGGGGAAACGAGGGGATTGAATTTCAACCAAAGACATGCCAGATTTTTTTTCTTGCTCTTAATATTCAACATTCTTCCACTACTCAGTATCTAATTAGATACTGGAACAATGCAGGGATCATGTGTTTCTCTTTAAGCTTTTGGCACAGTCCATCACACTCTAGTTAGCATTGGATACACTGAGGTGCTCCTCCAGAAACCAGTACTGAGTGACATCACGTGCTATGTCACAAACAATGGAACAAAAATTAAGGGCGCATGCTCTCAGACATTCAAAACACTTGCAGTCATTTCGGTTTTCCCTTTTTTCATTTACTTCAAATCCACATTCATTTTGATGCTTGAATACCCTCCCTTGTCTCCCAACTTTTTTTCAGAAACAGGTATCCCTTGCTACCCAGAGTATTTTCTGCTTCTCAGAAAAATCACAATTCATTTTAAAAAATCATATGGGCCACTTAATAGTTATTGTTTGAGCTCTGTGGAAATGATTGGCTTGACTTATGACTAACAACAATAAACACAGTGTATTTATTGCAAACACCATGGCCAGCCACCATATAACATACATAGGTCCTTACATACAGATAGTCAGAAAGTGAGAATGAGTATCAAAGCTGTCTGCTATGTGATTGTTTCCTTCACAGACTGACAATATGAATATCTGAGAACCAACATCCCATCTTCATGCTATACCCTTTCGAATAGAAAACTAGAGAAGGAAATTATGTAACTCATCAATTGCTAGAGAAATGTTGAGGACGCCAAAAAAAATACACAGACATACTCAGACCTTTTTAAATCTGGAAACATGTGTTGTTTGTGAAGAAGCATAAATATCCTAAAACTCTCTTCCATATGTCTGCTTTCCTCCCATTGGGCTACATTCCCAAGAGGCTCTAGTAGTTCCAAATTTGGCTTCTATGCTTGTATCTAAAATATGAAAAATTAATGCTGAGCAGGCTTTATAAATGGTTTTCATCACAGTAATATTAAAATATTGCATATAATTGTGTTTTAATTAAAATGATGCCTTAAAATTTTAATACATATTTGTACATATTTATGGGATGCATGTGATATTTCAACACATGCATAAAATATGTATAATGATCAAATGAGAGTATTTAGGATATTCATCATCGTGAACATTTACCATTTCTGTGTGGTGTGAATATTTCAGACCTCCTCTTGTAGATCTATTTTAAATATACATTGTTAATTTTAAGATATATATTAACTATAGTGACTCAACTGGGCTATCAAACACTAGACTTATTTCTTCTATGTAATCTTATGCTTGTACCCATTAAACAACCTCTGTTTATCTCCCACCCCCGACCCCACACACACCCTTCCCAGCCCCTGCTATCATTCTACTCTCTACCTTCATGAGATCAACTTTAGCTCAGACACGAATGAGAACATGTTATTTATTTTTCTGTGCCTCACTTATTTTACATAACGTAATGACTTCCAATTACAGCCATGTTGCTGCAAATGACAGGATTTCATACTTTTTATGGCCGAATAGTATTCCATTGTGCAGATATACCACATTTTCTTTATTCACTCATCTGCTGATAGACATTTAGGTTGATTTCATATCTTGGCTATTGTGAATAGTCCTGCAATGAACATGGGGTGCAAGTATCCCTTTGGTTCACTGATTTTCTTTCCTTTGGATAAATACCCAGTAGTAGGATTACTGAAATGTATGGAGCTCCATTTTTAGAGCTATTTTATTTTCCATAATAATTTACATTCCCACCAACAGTGTATAAGAGTTCCCTTTTCTCCACATCCTTGCCAGTTTTTGTCTTTCTAATAACAGCTATTCTAATTGGAGTGAGAGGATTATCTCATTGTGGTTTTGACTTGCATTTCCCTGATGATTAGTGATGTTGAGTATTTTTCTATATACTTGGCTATTTGTATGTCTTCTTTTGAGATATGTCCATTTAAATCCTTTGCCCACTTTTTAATGAGATTATTTGGGATTTTGCTTTTGAGTTAATTGTATATTCTAAATATTAGTCTCTTGCCAGATGAATATTTTTGCAAATATTTTCTCCCATTCAACAGGTTATTTCTTCATTCTGTTGATTATTTCCTTTGCTGTGCAGAAGCTTTTTAGTGTAATATAGTCCCATTTGTCTATTTAAGTTTTTATTGCCTATGCTTTTGGGATCTTAGCCATAAAATCTTTGCCTAGACAAATGCCCTAGAGCATTTCCCCTAAATTTTCCTCTAGTAGTTTTATAGTTTTGAGTCTTACATTTAAGTCTTTAATTCATTTTGAGTTAACTTTTGTCTATGGTGAGAAACAGGGATCTAGTTCATTCTTCTGCATATTGATTTCCAGTTTTCCCAGCATCATTTATGGAAGGGCGTTTCCTTTCCCCAATGTATGTTCTTGGTACCTTTGTCAAAACTCAGTTGGCTATAAATTCAATTGGATTTGTTTCTGGGTTCCCTGTGCTGTTCCACTGGCCTTTGTGTCTGTCTGTTTTGGTTGCTATAGTTTGTAGTCTATTTTGTAGTCAGGTAGTGTGACACCTCTAGCTTTGTTCTTTTTGTTCAGTACTGCTTTAGCTGTTTGGGCTCTTTTGGGCTCTTGCGATTCCATATTAATTCTGTAATTGTCTTTTCTATATCTGTGAAGAAAGTCATTGGTATTTTGCTAAGGATTGCATTTAATCAGTAGATTGCTTTGTTTTATGGTCATTTTAATAACGTTAAGTTTTCTGATCCATGAATATGGGATGTTTTTTCATTTGTCTATGTTCTCTTCCATTTCTTTCATCAGTGTTTTGTAGTTTTCCTTGTAATGGCCTTTCATCTTCATGGTGACATTTATTCTTAGATATTTTATTTTTTTGTAGCTATTGTAAATGGGATTGCCTTCTGGATTTTTTGGCTGTTCATTATTGGTTACATTTTTTGGCTGTTCATTATTGGTACAAACGCTACCAACTTTCATACTTTGATGTTGTATCCTGCAACTTTACTGAATGTATTAGTTCTAACAATATTTTGATGGTGTCTAGGTCTTTCTATAGGTAGGATCATATCATCTGTAAAGAGGGACAATTTGACCTCCTCTTTTTCAATTTGCATGTTTTCTTTCTTTTGCCTGATTATTCTGGCTAGAACTTCTAGTACTATGTGGAATAGAAGTGGTGAAAGTGGGCATCCTTGCCTTTTTCCTCTATGAACTCATAGAGGAAAGGGTTTCAGCTTTTACCCATTCAGAATGTTAGCCATGGGTTTGTCATTTATGGCCTTTATTAAGTTGAGGTATATTTCTTCCACGCCTAACTTGTTGACAGTTTTTACCATGAAGGGATGCTAAATTTTATGAAATGCTTTTTCCATATATGTTGAGATCATCTTGTGGTTTTTGTCCTTCACTCTGTTGATGTATCACATTTATTGATTTACATATATTGAACTATCCTTGCATCCCTGGATGAATCCCACTTGACCATGGTATATTATCTTTTTAGTATGTTGTTGGATTCAGTTTGCCAGCATTTTGCTGAGGAATTTTGCATCTATATTCATAAGGGATATTGTCCTCTAGTTTTTAGTTGTTGTGGTTGTGTCCCTCTCTGGTTTTGTTATCAGTGTAATGCTGGCCTTGCAGAACAAGTTAGGAAGAATTCCCTCATTTTAAATTTTTTGGACTAGTTTGAGAAGAATTGGTGTTAGTTCTTGATAACTTTGGTAGAACTAGACAGTAAAGCCATCTGGTCCTGGGCTTTTATTTATTGGGAGGTTTTTTTAAATTACTGATTTAATCTCATTATTCATTATTGTTCTGATTAGGTTTTCTATTTCTTTATGGTTCAGTCTTGGTAGATGTTATGTGTCCAGGAATTTATCTATTTCTTCTAGGTTTTCCAGTTTGTTAGCATATTGTAACTTATAATAGTGTCTGATGATCTTTTGCATTTCTGAGGTATCAGTTGTAATGTCTCTTTTTTCATTTCATTTCTGATTTGGGTCTTCTCTCTTTTTCCTGGTTAATCTAGCTAGTAATTTATAATTTTATTTTTTAAGAAAACCAACTGTTCATTTTGTTATAATAATTCTTTTTAAGTTTCTAAGAAAATTTCAGGCCTGCTCTGATTTTTATTATTTCTTTCCTTCTAATTTTGGGTTTGGTTTATTCTTGCTTTTCTAGTTTCTCAAGGTACATGATTAGGTTTTTTATTTGCAATCTTCCTACTTTTTTGATACAGGCATTTATTGCTATGAGCATTCTTAGTATTTTTTTTTCTTTATCTCACAGGTTTGGCTATTTTGTGTTTCCATTTTTAATTGTTTCAAGGCATTTTTATTTCCTTCTTAATTTCTTCATTGATCCAATGGTCACATTCAGGAGCATACTGTTTACTATTCATGTATTTTTACAGTTTCCCAAGTTCCTTTTGTTATTGATTTATAGTTTTATTCCATTGTGGTCTGAGAACATATTTGATTTCTTTTTTTTATTTTTTGACTTGTTTAGTGGTCTAACATATGTTCTATCCTGGAGACTGTTCCATGTGCTGATAAGAATATGTATTCTGCAGCTGTTGGATTAAATGTTCTATAAATGTCTCTTAGATCCATTTGGTCTACACTGCAGTTTAAGTCTGATGTTTGTTGATTTTCTGTCTAGAATATCTATCCAGTGCTCAAAGTAGGGTGCAGTAACCAACTACAAATGTAGAGAAGTCAATCTCTTTCTGTAGATCTAATGATATTTGCTTTATATATCTGTAGCTCCAGGGCAGGATGAATATTTATTTACAGTTGTTATATCTTCTTGCTGAATTGATCCCTTCATTTTAATGACTTTGCCTTTCTTTACTGGTTTTGATGTAAAGTCTGCTTTATCTTATATAAGTATAGCTACTCCTGCTCTCTTTTGGTTTCTGTTTGTGTAGTACATCTTTTTCCATCCCTTCAACATTCAGTCTTACGTGTCTTTACGGGTGAAGAAAGTTTCTTGTAGGCAACATATAAATAGATTATGGTTTTTAACCCATATGGCCAATCTGTATCTTTTAAGTGGGGAATTTAATCCATTTACATTCAAGTCCATTACTGGTAGGTGAGAACTTATTTCTGTCATTTTGTTATTTTTTTAATTGCTTTATATATCCTTTTTCTTATCATTTTGGTTTAGTTGGTTTTCTGCAGCATTAACATTTGAGTCCTTTCTGTCATTTGTGTGTCTGCTCTACCAGTGAGTTTATAATTTTTTTTGAAACGGAGTCTCACTCTGTTGCCCAGGCTGGAGTGCAGTGGTGCAATCTCAGCTCACTGCAACCTCCGCCTCCCAGGTTAAAGTGATTCTTGTACCTCAGCCACCCAACTAGCTGGGATTACAGGTGTTTGCCACCATGCCTGGCTAATTTTTGTATTCTTAGTAGAGACGGGATTTTGCCATGTTGGCCATTCTGGTGTCAAACTCCTGGCCTCAAGTGATCCTTTTGCTTCAGCCTCCCAAAGTGCTGGGATTACAGGTGTGAGCCACCACACCCAACAAGTTTTACACTTCCATGTGTTTTCATGATGGTAGGTGTTGTCCTTTCACTTACAGATGTAGGACTCCCTTAAGCATTACTGGTAGGGCTGGTCTGGTGGTGATGAATTTTCTCAGTTTTTGCTTATTTGAAAATGATTTTATTTCTCCATCATTTTTGAAGGATAGCTTTGCTGGGTACAGTATTCTTGATTGACGGAGTTTGTTTTTTGTTTTTTTGGTTTTTTCCTTTCAGCACTTATACTATATCATCCCATTCTCTCCTGGGCTGTAAGGTTTCTACTGAGAAACCCATTGTCTGATGAGGGCTCTCTTACATGTGACTTGATGCTTTACTCTTACCATTTATAGAATTTTCTCTTTGTCGTGACTTTTGACAGTTTGACTATAGTGTGCCTTGGAGAAGACTTTTTTGGGTGGAATCTATTTAGGGATCTTTGAGCATCCTGTATCTGGATGTCTATATTTCTTGCAAGACTTGAGAAATTTTCAGCTAGTATTTAATTAAATCAATTTTCTATGCTTTCACCTTTCTCCTTTTGGAACACTCAAAATTCAAACAGTTGGTTGATTTATGGCATCCCATGTCATATAGGCTTTTGTTTGTTTGACTGGGTTATTTCAAAAGACCTGTCTTCAAGTCTGTACATTCTTTCTTCTGCTTGGTGTAGTCTACTGCTGAAGTCTGACTGTATTTTTATTTAGTTCATTGAATTCTTCAGTTTTAGGATTTCTGTTTGATTTTTTATGATATCTATCTCTTTGTTGCACTTTTCATTCAGATCATGATTTTTTTCTGATTTCTTTGTATTGTTAATCTGTGTTATATATGAGTTTTCTTAAATCATTATTTTGAATTATTCAGGCATTTCATAGATTTTTCATTGGAATCTGTTGGAGAAGTTTTTCTTTCCTTTGGAGATGTCATGTTTCCTTTCTTCTTCACATTTCTTCTGTCTTTACATTAATACATGTACATCTAGTGTAATAGTTGCTTCTTCCAGTATTTTGGATTGGCTCACATAGGAAAAGACTTTTTTCCTATCAATTTATCGACAGTGTTGGCTAGGTAGGGAATTCCCACTTTGATTCTGGGTGCATGTAGTAGTGTAGTATCCATATGATTTCTCCTGCTGCAATCAGCAGCACTGATATCTCTGAGTTTTTCAGTTGCTCAGGTTTGTAGCTGTTAGTGGAGGCCGTGGTGAGGCTTTGCTGAGAATGGAGATGCCAGGTAGGACAGTTTTCAGGCCCCATTGGTGGCAGTGGTGGGCTGACCATACCCATCCTTTGGCCCCAGGTGGCATACACAGGCATTAAGATCAGCAGGTCTAGGTGGGCTGATTCTTGGGCCTCCAAGTGGCCTGCTTGGGTGCTGACAGTAGCAGTGGTGGGTCATGGCAGGTGGGTGTGTCCTTGGGCCCTTGAGCAGTGTATGTGGCATGGGTAATGGCAGTAGTGTTGTCAAGCCAACCCTCAGGCTTCCAGGGGCACATGTGGGCTCTAGCAGTGGCATGGGCAGGCTGGGTAGGGCAGTCCCCAAACTCCGAAGTGGTGTGGGTGGGTGGGTGGATGCTGGGAGTGGTGGTAGTGGCAGGCTAGGTGGGCCCATCCACAGGCCCCTGGGAGGAATGTGCAGGCACCAATGGTGGCAGGTTGATCCCCAGACCCCTGGATGGTACATTTGGGTACCAGAAGCAAGCAGACTGGGCCTGTTGTCAGACATGTGATGATGACACATGCATACACCAGAAGTAGCAGGCAGGGCAAGTCAATCCCAAGGTTCCTAAATGGCTCACTTGGTCACTGGCAAGGGCGGTACCAATAAGGGAAGACCTATCCTCAGCCCCACCCCATCCCGCCCTGATGGTGTACATTAGCACAGGCTGTGGTGGGCAAGATAGGGCAATCCTCAGGCCCCTGGACACTATTCTTGGATGCTGGTGGCAGGCAGGCTGGATCTTCATTAGGCTCCCCAGTGGTGAGATCACATATCAGAAGTGGAAAGCAAGGCAGGTCAATACCCATGTCCGCAGATGGCATCCTCAGGTACCAGTGGCAGGCAGGGTAGGCCTGCTATCCATGCCCCTGATGTGGTGTGTGTATGCCCGAAGCAGCAAGCAAGATGGCCGAATCTCCAGGCCTGTGGCTAGCATGCTCAGGCACTGGCAGCACGTGGGCTGGGCCTGCTGATAGTGGATGCATGGATTAGGAGCAGCAGCCAGGGTGAGTCAATTCCAAGGCCCCCAGCTGGCATGCTCAGGTACCAGTAATAGTGTGCAGTGTGGGCCTCTCCTCAGCCTTGGAACAGTATTCATCAGACCAGTCTCCAGGCCCACTGAAGGCATGTGCAGGTGTGCAGCTGCCCTGCGGCCGAGGGTGGGATGGGTTCTGTCAGTAGAGCAGCCCCAGGCAGGTAGCTGCCTTTGGCCACCTTTATCCAAGGGGCCGTGTCCCCTGTGAGCTTCACTCCTGTTTTATCGGCTGTAAGGCATTGTATGGGCCAGAATGCTGGGGACCCAGCCACACCATGGGGTCTACCTGGTATCATGATGCTGTAGCACTCTGGGTAGGTACAGTGGGGATGTCAGCAGGGATTCAGAGATATGGAGATACAGGGGCTGTTGGGCCACAGAACAGGATGTGGTCTAGTATGGGCTGGACTCTCAAAAGGCAACATGCTATAGCTGCTTTGGTCTCAGGGTGGGTGTGGGACTTGGAACAAACTCTCCCTCTGGAATGATGCTCTCACATGGGCATCAGGCAGCTCCCTCTACTAGCCTCGGGATCCTCAAGGGCCGAGGGGCTCTCCCACAGCTAGGATTGCAGAAGTCTGCAGTGAGAATATGGACAGCTGATGATCTCTCACTTATCCTTTCGCTGTACTGCAGAGCTTCTCCTGGCTCCTAGTCTATCCCAGCCAGGCTGGCTACCTCACTTCCTTCTGCGCCTCATTTCTTCACTGTCACTTCCCTGCTAAATTCCAGTGTTCTCTCTTAGATGTTCTAATTGATGTGTGATGATCTACTCACTGTTTTGGTCCTTTTTTGTGGAGGAGGCAAATGCCAGGCGGCTCTACTCAGCCATCTTGAAGCCCCTTTCCATTAAGTTCTTTTTAAATTAATTTACCAACAATCGGAATTTCTTAGGTCATTTCTGATTTAAGATATACTTTGAAGAGCCATTTATCAGATGATCTTCACCTACTGGTATTAGGGAATAAGAACTTTATTTATACCACTTAACAACACAAAACATCTATTTAGTAATATTGCCCTATAGCTACAAATATTGGACTATTAACAAAAATTCTTGACATAATATATTAAACATTTTATTTTTGATGACCTCTTACAAAATATCCTTTTCAGAGTTGAAAACAATAAAGTACAGAACCTTTCACTGGGTCATCACCTATATGCAAAATATCATGATATATTATGGTCCTGAAATGCACGTGCATTCTGGTATCAGACATTTTTGCTTACCAACACCAGAAGGTAAGCCATATCACTTATTTGGTTTATTGAAAGATCCTAGTAAAGTGACAATCACCCCATATGGTTCCCACAAGCCACACTGAACTGTTCAACTGACCTACCACTAACTAATCAGTTCTTCATTTCTTACTTGCTTTTCAGTAGTTCTTTTCAATTTTCTCTTTTTCTGTATCTTCATTTTGTGCTATTTCATACTATCTCCAAAACAGAAATGTGGGCTTTGAGCATTTAAGAAAAACAATTTCAAAACTGTATGAAGTGAATTCAACTCAAAGGATGGGATGGGCATAGTTTTGGTGAAAATATGAATAATTTCTATTATTTCTAAAGCCAAGTCAAGTATTTAGCCAGGGCCTGATTCAAAGCAAAAACACAATAAGAAAATGATCTCAGCTCATCTTCATCTCTCTGGTTGAAGGAGCAATAATAGCTATATCCAATTTTTATAGGAGTCAAAGAGATGCATGTAATGATTCTTCTATATATATAAATTAACAGTGTTTTAAAAAGGGAATTCATTATGTTATAAACAATTAAAAATGTATATAATGCAGCTTTCTTCGATCCAGAGTTCTGTTCTGTGAGTGGAACTACCAACCTATTATTTTAAAGTTTGCCTTTATATTGAAGTTTCTCAACTGCTTTTAATTATTTTCATTTTTCTTCCCTGAATCTTTTCTAGGTACATTACACTTTTACTCAATTACAGCAAACAAAGTAACATAGGATGGCAATTCTGGGAGCAGATACGTTATGGTCTTAAAATAGTATATTGTTATATGTTAAAAGGCGTAATAAGTCCTATATACAAGTCTGCACAAAATCTCAAATTGTTTTCTGCCTCAATTCTCAGCTGCAGGAATAGGTGTAGTTTTTTCTGGCTGGCTCCTACAGTAACTGGCAAGAGTCAAGATGGAAAAAGGTTTCTTTCCTTACTCATTAACCCAGAGAATGCTGCCAACTACTGTTTTGTTTAAGCTATTATTTTGGTCAGCTTTGAAAATTAAAAATATATATACAGTAATAAATGCTTTGGGAAAAAGCATGGTCACCACTTATAGAAAATATATAGAATATATTCTGAAACTCCACCTCAAAAAAATGCTGATGAAAATTAAAATGAGTATATAAGTCATGATTCAAAAGGTAGGAAACAGTGAAAATATATTCTAAAAAGCTCCAAAAGAAATCAAAGTAATATAGATTAAGCTATCTATCATAATAATACATATAAATAAGTTAAACACTCAGACAAAAATTCCTAGATTACATTTAAAGAAAAAATACAATTTACCTAAGCACTTAAAAAAGTGACACAGAAAAGTTGAAAAGTAGAAGGATAGAAAAAGATATGGCAGACCAACATAGACCAAAAGAGAGTAATAGTTCCTATGTCAGTAAAAGCAAAAAAACAAGGCCAAAAGTATTCAATGAATAAAGAAAGTATTATGTTCACAAAAGGTACAATATATATAATGCTATAATAGTCATTAACACTTATACATGGAAAAACATTGCCCTGAAATAGAAAAATAAATTTAAAAGAAGGAAAAATTAATAAACATAAGAAACACCAGGGTATAAATCTGACACATTAGTCAAAATGTAATAATACCTTCACACAAATCAAACATTTTAATAACCATGGAATTTAACATTAGTTTGCTATATTACCTAAAAAGAAATACTGACTAAATTCCAAACAGTAAAAATTACACAGGAAGTATTTTTCATTTTCTGTCCACAGTATAATGAACACTTAAGCATAAGCAAAACCAAATAGAACAAAACAAAAACCTTCAGCAATTTGAACACTTTTTTAGACCTCCTAATAGAAATTCTCAGATTATTTAGGAACTAATCACAATGATCATACCACTGCAGCAATGCTTAAGCTGCACCTAAAGCTATGCCCAGAGGCAAATTCATAGCCTAAATTGTTAGCTTATTAAACATTAAAGACTCAAAAGAAATGGCCTGAAATATTCAAATCCGAAAATTATGTAAGTGTGTGCATGTATTTAATGCATATAGTATAATTTTAAAGAACCCCATGTGCTAGCCCATCACAATCAACCTCTATACTTACAGGGGAAATATTAATACTTGGTGGTCAGCTGCTATCTACTATCTGTGGATGGAGAAAGGAAGACCTGCCAATAATGCACCACTGATATGCTTGGAGAACACTCTAACAAGAAAAAAAATGAAAAAAAAAAAATACCACTAAAACCAACATGAGCCTACACTAGCGATAAATACTAAACGACCTGCATCAGAAGTTCCCAAACACTGGTCTATACAAATAGTATCAAATTATTGGGTACCTATTGTAAAAAGTAACATTTGCACGTCTTTCCCTGGAACTTTCAAATTAGAATCTCCATGAGTAGTACATAAAGGTCTCTATCATAGTTACTTTTGGCAACCCACTAGATGCGGATCTTAATTTGTTAGTATCAGGCAATAAGGAAAATGTACCTTGTGTTAATGCAGAAAACAATAAAGAACATTTAACTTCAAGTCTCACTGAGATGAAAGAGGCTATTTCATCACTGAAGAAAGAGTAGAATAGAAAAAAAGGAAAAAGGAGGAGGAAGAGAAGGACAAGCCACCATCATCTAAGAACAAAAATGAATTCTTTGAAATAAAAAAAAGAATGAGGGTGTTTAATAATGGCAGTGAAGGGCAGAATAAAACTTACGAAAACAAAATGAGTGAATCAGAGGCCAGGAAGAATTCTCCATGCATAAGAGTTCTTAAAAGAGCAATTAGAAGAATAGGACGGCTTTGCAATGTGTTGGTTTGGTGAGACTGAACTACATTTCCCAGAATTCCATTTCTTGTATATACATACATCCTAATTATATACCACTGTTCTACGTAATTATCCATCTAATCTTCACAGCCATGTTACAAGCTTGATTCCATAACTATCCACATTTTAAAGGTAAGGAAACTGAGGCACAAAAGTTTACATGGTTTGCTCAAGGCCTCACAGCTAGTAAGTGTTGGACCTGGGTTTGATACTACCTCCACTGACTCAAGGGTACATCTTTTTAATTACTACAAATCACAGAGTAGTTAAGCCAGTAAAACTATTCATTGTCTAAATACTTGTTGCTAATGTGCTCCTGAAATTTAATGTACTTAGTCATGAGCCACATTATGACATTTTGGTCAAGGACAGATGTCTTATGGTGGTTCCATAAGATTATAATGGAGTTTGGGCATGTTAGCTCATGCCTGTAATCCCATTACTTTGCAAGGCCAAGGCAGGTGGATTACTTGAGGTCGGGAGTTCAAGACTAGCCCAGCCAACATGGCGAAACCCCATCTCTACTAAAAATACAAAAATGAGCCAAGAGTGGTGCCACATGCCTGTAATCCCAGCTACTTGGGAGGCTGAGGCAGGAGGATCGCCTGAATCCAAGAGACAGAGGTTACAGTGAACCAAGATTGTGCCACTGCACTCCAGCCTTGGCAACAGAGACCCTGTCTGAAATACAAACAAAAAAAAAAGATTATAATGGAGCTGAAGAACTCCTCTCACCTCATGATGTCTTAGGTTGGAATATAACCTTTTCTATGTTTAGCTACATTTAGATACACTAATATTATCTTTGTGTTACAATCATCTACAGCACTCAGTACAGTAACATGCGGTACAGGTTTGTAGCCCAGGAGCAATAGGCTAGACCACATGGCCTAGGATTGTAGTAGGCTGTACCATCTAGCTTTGTGTAAGAACACCGTGTGATGTTCACAGTACACCAACATCACCTAGTGAGGCACTTCTCAGAGAATATTCCCATTGTTAGGCAACACATGACTGTATATGGCAAGTCTACTGTGTTTGTGTTTTCCAATTCATTAGTTAATTTCTATTGCTGCAATGTAATTAACATGGTTGGTCATTTTCATTCCTAAATGTATTGTTTTTCCTAAATGGAAAAAAAAAAGTATACTCCTAAAAAATCCAAACTACAAAGAAATAAAGACAGCGAAAACACCCCATCATTCCTACCTCTGCTATCACTTTGTTGTACGTAATTCCAGACATTTTTTACGCATACTGCTAGAAGGAAGGCAGGGAAACAATTTGGGGAGAGTTACACAAGAGGCTTCATTTGAATGATGAGTATATAGGTATTCATTTAATTACTACTTATACCCTCTATATCTAACATTCCTTTGTAAGAATAATTTGATTGAAAAAATAAACAAGCTGCCTTTCACCACAAATGGCATGCTTATTAATATAGTCACTGAGTTTATTAAACTTTCTAACAGTGATCAGATATAAAAGTGTACCTTGCTACTCTGCAATTCCCAGGATTACCCTTAGAAATCTGAACTATATGCTATGGAAGTGCTTAAACAATAAGTAAAGAACGCTTGTACTCAGAATTGCCAATTACAACTCTGTAACTTTATGTACTCCCAGAACAAGCAAGACAACATATTCTTTTCCAGGACATTTTAATAAAAATAATATGAAACAGTCCTATGCTATGATAAAAGCACAGTTACTGTGTGCTCAAACACTGAATATTCCCATTGTGCTGCTTATTTAAAACAAAAACAATAAAAACAGGATGCAACAAGCACAGATCTAAGAACCTTCACACATATTAGCTCATTTAATCTTTATGCTGAACAGTTGAGATGGGGAACGTTGTTCCCATTTTACAGATAAGAAAGCCACAACTCAGAGAGGTTAAATCATATGCCCCATGTCACATGGCCACTAAGTGACATCTCCTGTTTCCAACCCAGGCTCCTGCCCGCAAGTCCAGTGTTCCTTCCATTACATCATTGAATAGGTTGGTTTTCCTAGTGGGAAACAACAGAAGCCAACCATGGCTGATGAAAAATGAACAAGGATAATAGGTAATGCAGAGAACTTGGGCAATACAGACAAAAAGACCCCAAATCACACCACAGAGCCAGTGGAGAGAGGGCACTACTGTCACTGCTAAGCACTAAAGAATACAAGCAGGGAACGCAGGATGTTCTCACTAATACACCAGCACTGCTGTTCCAAGAACACAGTCTTCATGCAGCCACTGCCCCTACCAAGGAGATGACCTTGAGAATGTGCCTTCCTGTGACTGTGGGGGTAACCCCTGGACTCTAGATGATGCCCACTTGTACTCCAGCTGCAAGAGGGCAAAAGGTGATCTGGTAGGAAAACAAATAACTGGCATTTTCAGCAAGAGGTAGACACCGCCTGCAATGAGACTCAGTAAGATGAGAGAGAACACAAAACATAGGAAGGAGACCCAGATACTGGGTGGTCAAAAAAGATGACAAGTGCTCACTGAAAGACCACCCTTTGACTGGTTCACATCAACAAACATTTTTCTTCCTCATACTTTTTCTCCCCACCTCCCAAAATAAAGCTCTTACCTAACCTAATACAACCATCCTTATCTAATCTAAAAGCATTCCTGGCCGGGTGGCGTGGTGGCTCACTCCTGTAATCCCAGCACTTTGGAATATCGAGGCAGGCGGATCACCTGAGGTCAGGAGTTTGAAATCAGCCTGGCCAACATGGCAAAACCACATCTCTACTAAAAATACAAAAATTAGCAGGGCATGGTGGTGTACAACTGTAATCCCAGCTACTCAGGAGGTTGAGGCAGGAGAACTGTTTGAACCCAGGAGACGGGTTGCAGTGAGCCAAGACTGTGCCATTGCACTCCAGCCTGGGCAACAGAGCGAGACTTCGTCTCAAAAAAATAAAAATAAAAATAAATAATAATAAAAGCATTCCTTCCTTCCTTCCTCCAATGATGAAAAAACTAAAGGCCTTTCAGTTGATGCCTCCAGCTATAAGTCCAAGATCTTCTCTGGTACTCTCACTCTTCAGTATTCTATTATCTACAGACTCAGCTGTAAAGTTAATCCCTAACATACACAGTGTCAGACAGTAGAGAAAAGAAACAGGAAAAGAGAATAAAATGTGTTAAGATACATAAACAAACATGAGACATAGCAGGTAGGAAAACATGGGCCTATGCTACAGTCATCTGCAGATGGATGTGAGGCTGTAGTGGGGGCTTTGTCCCTCCACTCTTTTCCTTCCACGTTCTCTTCAATTTCATTCTACTACTCAGCTGACCAGGTTTATCTACCCAATATGACGACCTGCCTTCATTCCTGAGGGGTTTGAGATATTGATGTGTTCTTCCATTAAATTTTAATCACTGGAGCAGTACAAGGTGGCATCCCAAAACATCCCTTGGGTTCCATACACCTTGTTGCTATTACATAGCAGTAACCTTATTGACCAGAACAATCTCCCATGCCAACCCAGAACATCCTTTTTCACAGATTTGGCCAATGACACAAGAAGTCTGCGATAGCTAGGTGGGTTGGTTTACCCTCTCATTCAATGCAATCACTGCTGTTCCCTGATGGAAACCATCTTCCTTTGGGTATTAAGCCTCTAAAGTAGCAGATCACAGGGTTTCGGAGATGGGAAATGTCCCAAATATAATTGCTAGGCATTCACCATTCCAACCATTTCTTTATTTCAACTACCTGACTCCAGAATTTTATCTACATGGGGTTTTCTTGAACTTAACTATTCTCGAAATGACTGATTCTTACTTCTCCAGTATCTTTTTTTTTTTTTTTTTGAGACAGGGTCTTGCTCTATAACCCAGGCAGCAGTGTAGTGGCATGATCATGGCTTACTGCAGCCTTGACCTCCCAGGCTCAAGCAATCCTCCCACCTCAGCCTGCTGAGTAGCTGGGACCACAAGTACATGCCATCACACCCAGCTAATTTGTTTTTTTTTTGTAGAGATGGGTCTCTCTATGTTGTCCAGGCTGGTCTCATTCTGGGCTCAAGCAACCCTCCCACCTCAGCCTCCCAAAGTGCTGGGATTGCATGCATGAGCCACTGCACCTGGTCTCCAATGATTTCATAAGCATCTAGTTACCTGCATGAAAGCCCTTTCTGCCTAAAATACCTGAAGTGATTTTTTGTCTCCTGCACTGAACCCTAACTAATACAGAAAGTAACTTTTGTGAGTGGGTCATTAGCTGTACTTGTAAGAGATACTATTGCCTTTTTCTCTCTCTTGGCTTCCAAACTTATACATTTGTTGTATGACTGACACAGGATCACATGCTGATCACTAGTTCAAAGCACACATCACGTCCCACAGGACAGCACCCCAACTTCACAAGGTAGTCTCTAATCTGAAGCTCTAACAGAGTCATCAATAGGCCTTTCTACCATTCTGGATGATTGCATAAATTGTAGGAAATGGTTGATCCGTCCTTAGTATCCATTCCTACCATTTCATATACGTTTTCCTAAGCTACAGAGGTTAGAAAACTACAATTTTATTTCACAGACTCCACTGCAGCTTCTGGGAGACTGCATGAATCTTCTGTGTTGTATCTGCTGCCTTACTTCTTTCAATGTAGAGAAACTATGTTTAGAAACTATGTGCTGTGGGACACCATCATGGGACGTAAAGCCTTCAATCAATCTAAGAATGGTAGGCTGGCTAAAGCATGGCAGGCAAGGAATACAAACGCAAATTCAAATTCAAAATTACTTTTGCTCCTTGATGATCTCTACTGATGATTAGTTAGGTTCTAGATGGTCCCCATTTCGCATGGTACCATATTGGGGGCTACAGCTAGCAAGTTGAGCATTCATTAATGGCAGTTGACAATGGTGGTTAAGGTAAAGTTTACAAGTTGAGGCCAGGCTACCACTGAATGTATTTATAATGCTAAAATAGTCCTCTTTGAGTTGGTGCTAATTTATGCAAAATCAGGGGTAATTAAGTGTCCACTTTTCCCCTTAATCATAGGAACCTCCCCTTGAAAACACAAGTGTGAGTTGAGAAAAATCTCCTTGAAGTAGATGCCATATATGGCACTCATATGATTTGGCTGTATCCCCACCCAAATGTCATCCTGAATTCCCACCTGTTGCAGGAGGGACCCAGTAAGGGGTAATTGAATCATGGGGACAGGCCCCATGCACTTCTCATTTTAGTGAGTAAGTCTCACGAGATCTAATCGTTTCATAAGGGAGAGTTTCTCTGCACAAGTTCTCTTTTGCCTGCTGCCATCTGTGTAAGACATGACTTACTCCTCCTTGCCTTCTGCCATGATGGCGAGGCCTCCCCAGCCATGTGGAACTGTAAGTCCATTAAACCTCTCTTCTGCAAATCACCCAGTCTCAGATATGTCTTTATCAGCAGTGTGAAAACGGACTAATACAACCACCTCTACTTGAAAACCCATTGCAGTTTAGTATACCCAAATACGTGGCTAAGTGACTCCTGTGACATGCATCACGGGCAGCTCAGATTGAATAGTTATCTAGTAGGTCATGGTTAAGCATTTAGTCTCTGTAAGACCCTTGAAGCAAGGGGAGAGCTGTTTCTCAATAAACTAATTGCTTAACTAAGAGACCATGGCTTCAATCTCAAACCCCAGGGCTTTTACTATGCTTCTCCTAATGAGACTTAATACAGTCTTCATACAGCATCACAATATGTCAAGACACTTAGAGTAATAAGCAATAAGGTATGTTCTGGCAGTCAGAGAAATCCCTCAGGAAAAAGAATTTCAGTTCTGGAAGTTGCAATTTTGAAGTAGCGAGGTGTTATGGGTGAGGCCCTGACAGCACTGGCTATATCTAGTAAGTGGCTTCAAGCAGCATAGCCCAATGTGGGATATGCTGCCTTCAGAATGAAAATAGACCCATCAGGTGCTGTTTCTTTGTTAGTGGTAGAGGATTCAAACTGCAGCATATATTGTGAAATGTTCCAAACCAATGAACCCTCAGAAACCCCTATAGCAACTATATCCTTGTATTTTCAAGAATACATCTCTCATTCTCTAGCATGCATGTGTGTTACCAGAGCATCTAGAGTGTCTACTGCTTCTATTCTCTTGATCATATCAGCATAGTGTCATTGATGTCCTGGACTAGTCTGATATCTTTTGGGATAATGAGATGATCTAGTTCCCTAGAGATTACATCATGGCTTGAGGTCAGAGAATTTACATAACTCTGAGGCAAAGTGGTAAAAGTATATTGCTATCCATGCCAAGTATAAGCTAAATGCTACTGATGTTCTAAATTTATTGTGATAGAGAAAACAAGATTTGCAAGATCAGTAAAGGCTATGTTCATTTGCTTCAGTAAAGACACCACATTTGGAACACCTGATTTAAGGGAAGTTATCACCTGTTAAGCTTATAATACTCTACCAGAATTCTCCAAGTATAGTAGAGAGTTATGTCAGGAAGCAACAGGAATCAGTTTCTCCACCTCTTTCAAGTGGCTTCTTATGACATTTGTCACTATGGTTCCCCCAGGGATGTGGTATTTCTTTTCATTTACTCTTGGTATTGAGAGGAATTCCAGAAGTTTCTTTCCATTTAGTCCTTTCTAGTATAATAGGTGAGAAGCCAGTATGAGGTTCCATCATTGTTGATTATATATATTCCAATGGTACATTCATGAATTAAAGAAATACAGTATGTATTCAAGGTCCCACTGGGCCTACAATGAGACAGATATGAGTTAGAGCTCCATCACCTGAATTCCATAAAACCCATACTCAGAACCACAGAAGAAGCACAGTGTGTTCTGAGTCACCAGGACTTAGTGTTAGCCCAGAGCTAATGTCTAACACTTTCTGAAAGGTCTAAACATTTCACTTCTCCCCACCAAGTTCCCATTTACTCAAGTTCCCATTTAAATGGCTTAGGTCACTTTGTAAAAGGATAAGAAGATGTATAGCCACTAATTGAGACGTTATTGTAGCTTACTCTTTCTCTCAAGGGTATTTGACTTCCCCTTTATTTAAAGAAGCCTGGAACTATAAACTTTTATAGATTTGGGACTTTGTTGAGAGGTCGTGACCATTGTGGTAATTCAAGTCAGGCCTTGATTTATCAAGTATGCAATTTCTGTTACTCTTATTGAGTAGAACCTAATTGGGCTAACAATGTATTATAAATCTAGCTACTTCCAAATATTAAAGTTGATCAAACCATTATCCCACCAGCTATGATGCATATTACAATAACCATAACCACCTTGTCTCTAATGGTTTGGAGCTGCCACTTAGCCTCTGCCACCCTGGGATCCAGTAAACTCCCTGAAATCATGGAACCTTGCTGTATCTCTCACCAGCATCATTAGCTTACAGAGAATGGCCACTTTGGCACTCTTCCAAGACCTGGAACACTCTCATTCCTGTATTTCTAAATAACTGAAGAGATTATCTTCTGAATCCTCTTAGAGAACGTGGTACAGTTAGGCAAAGATGATAAATCCATTCCAACGTTTCTAACTTCCTGAGGAGTTGAATGCCTAGTGTGGCATCTAGCACACTCACTCACTTGGGGCTACCATATTGAATCCAGAATCTGTGCTAAGTCAATCCATATCAACAAATTCAGCCAAATTTAAAATTATACTCTTTCCTTGTTCATTTGCCTTGAGAATCCATTTAGCAGATTTTTGCAAATAAAAATTATCAACATCTTGCAGTTTTGACTTTGCAGTTGGTATTCCAAGGCATGCTGAGATCTGTCTTTAAGATAGGGATCTGGGGATGGTGAATGATGTTGAGAATGGGCCATAAGGAGGATGGAATTCCCTTTGCAAAGGGGGTCATTCTGGTTTTCGAGTAAGACAGGCAAGAAGGCTGCTCCAGCCAACAAATGAGACTCATGAGGCTGGGATCTCATCATACTCTGTCCCTTCCCCATATCTCTACCCCAGTTCCGAGGTTCTCCTCTCTCAATCAATACACTTTCACACCTGGCTGTAAATTCAACTGACTTGGTAGCTCAGCAACCTTGGGATTCAAGTCTTAATTTACTTTTAATTTCTTCAGCTTTGTGCCTGCAAGAGAGAAGATATTCTTTTGATACTATTATAGAAAGTCTCTATCTAAGCCAAGAATTTAGGACTTCGAGCTTATTCTTTTTTTTGGATACGGAGTCTTGCACTGTCACGCAGGCTGGAGTGCAGTGGCGCAATCTCAGCTCACTGCAACCTCCACCTCCCGGGTTCACGCCATTCTCCTGCCTCAGCCCCCCGAGTAGCTAGGACTGCAGGTGCCCGCCACCACATGCAGACAATTTTTGGTATTTTTAGTAGAGACGGGGTTTCACCACGTTAGCCAGGATGGTCTCAATCTCCTGACCTTGTGATCCACCCGCCTCAGTCTCCCAAAGTGCTGGGACTACAGGCGTGAGCCACTGTGCCCGGCCCGAGCTTATTCTTTTGCCTTGAACTGTCCAGCACATTAGAAGCAACCAGGCCTAGTACTACTTATTTATCCATTAATGTCTTAAGTTGCAAGTAACAGAAACCTACATTGGCTTACTGGAGCAAAGACGATGCTCATTAAAAAATATTATCTAGCTCACAGAATGGTTGTGGAAGCTGAAGATCCAGGTTCAGCAATACAAAGCTAGGTTTAATGCTAGCGTCACAGCAGAGAACTCTTCCACTGAGGACATCCCTGCTGCCACTGCTGAGTCCTGGTCAGTGCAGTCTGCACTGCAGACATACCCATCAACAGACACTAGATGCCATGACCAGCACTATCACTTTTGCTCCCCAGGAACTCAGTCTTTCTACAGCTCACCTCAACTCTGAAATGAGGGTGTCCTATGAGCAAAACCTGGGAACACACCTGTATTCTCACTGTCACACAGCTTTGGAAGTGTTATTTCTCTAGTGGGAGGTGAGCGCCACTAAGACTCATAGCATTGCAGAATTCCCCCCAAATAGAAAAGAGATTCTGATACTAGAGATTTATCAAAACACCAATTATATCCCACAGAATAAAATGAAGACAAAAAAATGTTAAGGGGTTTCTAGAATTGAAGATGATGCATCGAAGTAATAATTTGTCCATAAAATTGACAGATTTAAAACGTTAAAACACTCAATGCTGGTAAGATGTGGGGAAATGGCATTCTTACACCCTATAGAAGTGAGAGCTTTCTGGAGTAATAAAGCAGCACAGTGCTCACCCCAAAGCCTTTCCATTTCTTCTTTTGTGCCCATCTGTCATCTCCACAAATTTTCTAACAAGTATTATTTAACCCCAGAGAAGAAAATGTATTATTATTTCAAAATTTAAGAAACATTACCAAGCATTCAGGCAAAACAAAGTTCACATTTGGAACTTCTCTTTTGGAGAAACCTACCAAATACTATTTTTTTCTTTCTTTTCCTTATATTCATGTATGCATTAAGCAAGTACTTATTGAGCACCTGTCCATCTACCTGGTATCAGCACTTGGTGATTGTGAAGATATTGATATTGTTTTGTCAGCTACATTTTTTAAGTTGGTGGAGAAACCAGGATGCAAAGTTGACAACTTCACATTCTCAGGTTGAACTTGAGTTGGCATCTCAAGTCCTTTTTAACATTTTTAATATACTCCAATTGCTCTGCTACAAATTAAAGTGACAATGAGCACTGGATATTTGTATAGCGTAGATCCTCCCAAGTATTAGGAGCTGAAGCCCCAGAGATCTATACATTTCTAAGCCTCAAATTTATTGCCTACAACAGCAAACTCTACTCAGGGTATATCTGATTACAGATCTAGAGTTCCTGAGCTATTGTCCTTAGACAACACAAAAGGTCGGTTGCAAGGTAAATACTGTACTTTAACAGAGACTGATTTCACCTCTAGCCACCACCCTCCAGGTGTTGGGTTCACTGGTGCCTAGCGCTGATAGAATAGCTCAACATTAAAGAGCTATGTAAGGAATGTTGAGAGTGTGCTTACCTGGTCTGGGGCTTTAATATTTTTTGTGTGAAATTGTTGAGTTCTCAATCATTGTTTTTGTTATTTGAAATTCTTTTTGGAGAATTCGAAATTTGGTAATAATTTCAAGGAGTCTTCCTGGCATGTGTTCTAGATGGCTCTGCACATGAAAATGATAAATCAAGAGATTATTTCCTCCATAGGTCAGAGTCATCATTACCTTCCCCTTGCCTTTTGGAAGAAAGGAACTTTATCCTTCTATGTGATTTATTCTTTTCATGGGCATCCATTCAGCACAGAGCTATTGTTTCAGAACAGGGAAAATGTATTCCTTTTACAGGTTTATTCCTCCAACTGGAATTTGTTTAAGTAGGTTCCACTGCACAAACACAAAAAGCCCTAATACATGCAGACTGGGTCGGCCTCATGCCATCAGATGTCACCGCTGACGGGTGATGGCACTTATATAGATTTACACAACAAAAACTACATTAAAAATGTTAAGGTGATGAGACAAAGGCACAAAGGCCTAGAAATTCACAGCTCAGGATTTAAACATACTATATCTAAGAGGAATGGAGTGCATTAGGGTAATGGGAAGGTGACAGCGGCCCTATTATACCTACAGTACTAGACACTTAATCCCTAACTGAATTGCCTGGTGGTGTTGGCTTTGTCTCATTCTTGGGGGCTTATGTTTTTTAATGACATTATTGTTGTGTAAATGTTCTTGTTTTATAAAGTAATTTCAGGTTGATTATCATCTGTTTATGCAATTAGATTAATTACCCCTAATTACAGAGTAGAAACAACATATATAATTAGTTTATTAGAGGCATAACTGTGATATGCAATGATTTTTAAATCTTTATGAAACTTTGTTAACAAATATTCCACTCATGTGAAAGCAAAATATTTAGATGACAAACTCTTTTACCTTATATATTTTTTCATATGCTCAGTAATCATTAGATTTATTGCCTGTCAAATTTAGTGTTAAAAATCATAGTGCCATATTAGAGGGAATACAAATATTAAAACTGTGCTTAAGAAAATTAGAAACACTCCCGTGTTTTCCTTAAGGTCTGGTTTTGTAAATCTCTCTTCCATTAAGATTTCTTACCTACAGAGTGTCACCCTCAGGTGAATTTTGATGGTAGTTAAAAACCTAGTAAAGAGATTTATATATAACATCATGACATATAATACACACATGTTCTATTACATTCCTAACAAACTAAGAATATTACCCCCAATCCCCATATTGGATTTCTTCCTCTGCCTCTGAACCAAAGGAGAACTAGAAGATGAACCAAAAATGCTTCGACATTAAAGAAACAGTGAAGAAATAGATCATGAAATAAGATGATACATGCTTCCAAAATCAGTCAAGAGTGCTATGAAGGAAAGTTAAATATAGTTGCTGAAAAACTAAATTCAAATACAAGAAATGCATATTAATGTAGATTATCACCATTTATTTCCTTATTACATTTATTTCTCTGTTATTGGTAACTTAAGAGAATATTATTTAACCATTCCTTCACTCCTCAAAATATTGAAACTAAAAAATGCAATATAAGTAAACTGAATGCAGAGATCAGCTGCTTTTGAATTATGCAGCACATTCTCTCATGTGGATAAAAACCATCAAATATCCTCAATTATTGCTTACTGCTGAGACAAGGATTAGAAGGTCTAATTTACACCATTGGAAATTTCAGCAATAATATCAGAAAAGAAACACTAAACATTAGCAGCACATTACTGTAAAAACGCCATGCTTCTTTTGGATACAGAGTAACTTTCTGAACAGTGAATTCTATCTTTATCAGAAGGCAAATACTGTCAGTATTCAGTCTACAAACAAACTTGCATGGAAATGGTGCCTGGGCTTCAATTATTATTGAAGCAAAATATCAACTTAAAAGTTTAGTCTTTTAGCTAAGACAACAAACTTTTTAGAATCACTCTAAGCATGTCCAACACATAAGTTTATTTAATGAATGGAACAAAATTTCTTAAAAATTCAACTTCAGGCTGGGCTCAGTGGCTCATGCCTGTAAATCCCAGCACTTTTGAAGGCCGAGGCGGGTGTATCACGAGGTCAGGAGATTGAGACCATCCTGGCTAACACGGTGAAACTCCATCTCTACTAAAAATACAAAAATAAAATTAACCGGGCATGGTGGGGGGGGCGCCTGTAGTCCCAGCTACTCGGGAGGTTGAGGCAGGAGAATGGCGTGAACTTGGGAGGCGGAGTTTGCAGTGAGCCGAGATTGCACCACTGCACTCCAGCCTAGGCAACAGAGTGAGACTCCATCTCAAAAAAAAATTAAGAAATTAAAAAAAAAATTTAAGATTGGTGGGAACAGTTGGGCACAGTGGCTCATACCTACAGTCCTAGCACTTTGGGAGGCCAAGGTGGAAGAACTGTCTGAGCCCAGGAGTTCTAGACCAGTTTGGACAAGATAGTGGTCTCATGGTGAGACCCTGTGCCTACAAAAAGTAAAGTTTTAAAAAATTAGGTTGGTCGTGGTGGTTGATGCCTGTAATCCCAGCACTTTGGGAGGCCGAGGTGGGTGGATCACCTGAGGTCAGGAGTTTGAGACCAGCCTGGCCAACATGGTGAAATCCCATCTCTACTAAAAATACAAAAATTAGCTGGCTGTGGTGGCCAGTGCCTGTAATCCCAGCTACTCAGGAGGCTGAGGCAGGAGAATCGCTTGAACCCAGGAGGTGGAAGTTGCAGTGAGCCAAGATCGGGCCATTGCACTCCAGCCTGGGCAACAGGACTGAAACACCATCTCAAAAAAAAAAAAAAAATGAGCTGGATGTGGTGGTATGCACCTGTAGTCCCAGCTATTTGGGAGCTGGTTGTGGGTGGTGGGAGATCACTTGAGCCCAGGAGATGGAGGTAGCAGTGAGCCATGATCACACCATTGCATTTCAGCCTGGGCAACACAAGAAGACCCTATCACCAAAAAAAAAAAAAAAAAAAAAAAGGTAAAAAGAAAAAGACACGTAATAAAAAAAGATCAGTGGGAACTATCATTACTCTGGGAAAAAAAAAAAGACAAATGTTTTCATTTGTTTCTTCATCTCTCTGTCAAAACAAAAAAAATCTTGATCCAGAAATTTTAGTTGTTAACATAAATGAAAATTACAACACATCCCTGGAAATGATGCATATTAGGGTATACATTTTATGAGGATAAGGACGGTGACTTACAGTTCTTCTTTATTTGTTTGAGACAGAGTCTCACCCTGTCGCCAGGCTGGAGTGCAGTGGCGCGATCTCAGCTCACTGCAAGCTCCGCCTCCCATGTTCACGCCATTCTTCTGCCTCAGCCTCCTGAGTAGCTGGGACTACAGGCGCCCGCCACCACGCCCGGCTAATTTTTTGTATTTTTAGTAGAGACGGGGTTTCACCATGTTGGCCAGGATGGTCTCGATCTCTTGACCTTGTGATCCACCCGCCTCGGCCTCCCAAAGTGCTGGGATGACAGGCGTGAGCCACCGCACCTGGCCTGACTGGCAGTTCTTTTATTCCCCTATGATACTAAGTATGAACATCTTGCATAAAGGGGGTACCCACTTTATAGTTATTGAATGAAAAAATGAGTAAAGGACTAGAAGATCAAAACATCCAACCATTTTTTCACAGAATGAACTAGCTGACAGTAAGCCTTTCTTCTTTTATTTTCTTCCTGTTCTTTTTAGAAGGATCAAGTTGGTATTTTAAAAATCAAATATTCAGACTTTTCTCCCCTCAAGTACATGAAATTGTATAAAGTAAAGCAAAATTCTAACAACATGTCTGGCACAAAACAATCATCTGGAAATGTTAGTCTATGAAAGTTCATAAAGAGATACTGATTCTCCGAAAAGTTCTTAGTCAACAAAAACCCCTTTAAACAAAGACACGATCACAATGGCTCAAAAAAAAAAGAAAATGAGTACCATTTGGTCCTGGCAATGCCTGGCCACTAACAGGTGCTTAATAATTATTCATTTCTTCCTATCGTCTTCAGACTTTACGATGGGAGGCAGAGCCCATGTTTTGGGGACAGACTACCTGGGTAAAGAAGGTAAATTCATTCTGTAAGGGAGCCCACAGTGACTCTCTTGAGACCTCCTTAGCTCAGAATCTCCCTCTGTACACAGGTGCGCTAAGAAAGTGAACCAGGCAAGGAAACGCAGAGAATCTCTGCCTGCCACTGGAAGGAGGCAGCAAAAGGAGATGAGCTTGGGAAGGAAGGAGGAATGTGACCATGGAACAGCTAGACCCAAACATACTTGTTTTTACTTTCCTGCTACACCCATAAATGGTTAAAAATGTAACAATCAACCTGCAGCTGGCATTAATCTATAAAAGTTGACATAGATCAAACCAAAAGAAAAATTTCTTTTCCACCTGGACTTTGGAATCCTAGGGCAAAGTTAGCAGAATAAGGAATGGGGTATGCAAGACCAGCCCTCATTTCTTCACCTGGGAAGCGGATAGTCCACAGTCGTGCCTGGGCCCACCATATAATGCACTACCCTCTTCCAACCCGTGGCTCAGACTTGAACCTTGTTGCGCAGATAAAGGAGGTGGCAAATGCACGCTTTTCAGACAAAAGTAACACAGCTGAAAGTTTGCTGACCTGTTTCAGCTGTGCCTAACTTCTGGGAAGGTGGCGTTACCCTAACTTAAAATTTGCACAAGGCGTAAGCCAGATGGGATGGAATTCACAGATAGTACTGACAGCCAGTGATTAAACAGAAGCTTCCATGATTCCCCACATTAGAACTGCATTTAGATTGTGTCTGACCAGTTCAGTGATTTTTTTAAAAAAAAAATCTTGCATGATGTCCTAAGAGGAGATGAGGCAGAAAGGGCTAATGCTCACTGGATTACATTAGGTCTTTTTACGCACTTCAGATGACAAATGTATTGCTTATCTTTGTTCTTTGAATTAGATCCGTAAGTGTGAAAATCCTAACAACTTCTAGAAGGTTAGTTAGTTTCTACCTGGTTCTGGAAGTACTGCCCCTTTCTGTCTTGTTCCGTCATTACTTTTTGAAAGATGTCCGTCACCCAGGACAGCAAGATATTAAACTTTGAAAAATGCCTTTCCATATTTTCTCCCATAAAGGATCAGTTTAAAAATTGGAGATTAAAAATGGAAACATTTTGCCAGCTTTATACTAATGTGGCATTTACACATTCTTCCATAGCATTTAAACGCACTCACTAGACTGGCATCCATTCTAAGCACAGTGTAAAGCCCAGAAAGGCATTTTATTCTTTCCAGGTGTGCTTGACTGGTTTATTTATGGTCTGACTTCCTTTCATAGTGTGAGAAACTTTAGCCTTCTGCCAGCTGCAAAGGATTGTTCAGAAGAAGCATTTTTAAGTTAAAAAATAGAGAGCAACACTTTTTTCTCCTGCCGCCCTCACCTCCCCCAGCCCCCTGCCACACTTCATGCACCTTCTTGCATTGGTTAGTCTGTGACATGTCTAAATAGGCATTTAACTGTATTCGCCATCAAAGAAGGTGCTCCATGCAGGCAACAGTATATTAACTTAATGAATACCAGAAAGGATAAGAAGGAGGGTATGGAGCTGTTAACTCCAGCCCAAGTTATCCTTCCTGAGAGCACTCATCACATTCAGTAGAAACACCCACACACACATGCGTGCACATGCACACACACACACACACACAAACACACAGAGAGAGAGAGAGACAGACTTTTCTCTCATTCTTCCAGTTCTGGAGAAGCTGGGATGATGTCCCTGAAGCACAGCTGAAAGGCACAGCCCTGATTTGCAAAAAGGCCGTGTGATGTGAGATGCTTCTGTTCTCTGCACACAGCCACACAAAATAAGTCTAAATGTTTTCTCATTCATAACTAACATCAGAAGGTCCCCAGCAGTATTACCTTGCCTGACTCCATAAGGAGGTCCAATGAAAGACCATTATCTACCTCTTTGCTGGCCACATTATGCTCCAAAGAGGCAGGTATAAAAAGATAAAGTGATTCTGAAAGATCATTTTTTACTGCATAAAAGAAAACGGTATTTCCTAATTTAAATAATTTTCCACTTATTTGCAGAGCTAACTAATTTGGGCTGAAATAACTGACTCCACCTTCAAAAAAAATTGCACTCAATACAGACAACTTTCTAAATGCTTCTGAAATGACTAAGGTTTTTCAAAAAATTATTTGACAGAGTCCTTTATGACAACTGTGACTTTAAAAAGATGAAAGCATGTGAATGACAGCAAAGATGAGACAAAATTGACTCTTGCAATAAAAAGGTTGACAGGACTTGAAATTTTTAAATAAAAAATTATTGAATCCAAATGACATAGATCCCAGGAAAATTTAAGTGCTTCAATAATAAGATCACAGAGTAGGTATGTTTCTTGGAAAAGAAAACTTGCTTTTATTGGGTAGGCGTGGTTTTGAAAAATTACCACATAATTTAGAGATCCACGGGAATCTTTGGCATTTCAAAACTTGAGTGGAACCTTTGGAAAAAGCTCATCACAGCTCTTTTTAATCTTTGAGGAAGCTGGCACTCTGCGATGCAGTTGTTAAACAGCCTGGCCATGCCAAAATTCATCATAGCACTGCCCCAGGGAGGCTGCTAGCTGCCTGACCCCAGCAGTTCAGAGTGGGACTGGAACAAAAGGCTAGCATCCATTTCAAAAAGAACCCCAGGAAGCATCTGCGGGAGGATGAAGAGTGTTGAGGTGGAAGCCAGAAGACAGTGGGAGTGAGGAAAGCACTAGCTAAGGAAGCAGAGAGGGCTGAGGAAGGAAGGAGGCTGAGCCAGCAGGTTTATTGGCAGAAGTCACACACATGATTGCTAGGCAATGGTCAATTTCCAGACAATAACCACAGAGTAACAGCAAAGCAGTAAAGAGGAGAGATCATGAAGAATGCACCTTCACACAGAGAAATGACAAAGAGAGGAAAAGGGAACAGGGAGGAAGGTGTGGAAGGAAGGAAGAAGAAAAAGAAGAAAGGGAGAGAGAGGGAGGAAGGAAAGGAGAGATAAGAAAAAGGGAAGGGGAGGAGGGAAAGAAAAAGGGAAGATGAGTAAGGGAAGAGAGGAAGGAACGGAAGGAAGGGGGAAGGAAGAAAAAGAATATGAAAGTAGCAGGCGAGACACTTGAAGAAAGTAAAGTTTATCAAAATGAATTAGCAGGAAATCTTTCTATTTACAGACTGTAGAATTTACCTAGGCTGGCAAATGGCCTGCTATTCCTTTTTTTGTGCTGTCAACAAGTGTTACCAATTGTTAATAGCATTAAAATCTTTATCACTTAATTTATTTTATTAATCCCATTCGGGTTTAACATTACTAGCACATGACTGTAAACAGCAATAATAATGCCACCGAGGTTGGTATCAACAATGCTAAAGGTTATCATGTAAAATCCAGCCTACCAGCAGCGAGAAAGGCTCTTGCAAACCTTTACATTAAGGAAAAGCCTTGCACAGATCCACAAAACTGTGATCTTAATATGATATAGCATCCCCTGTCCTCCGATGAATTCTCCAATATTTAAAAAACAAATCTCAACATCCAAGAAGCATTTTAGGAAAGGGTTAATGTATATTTAAGTAATGCACGATCTTTAACCCTTTCCTTCTGTTTCTGCTCTTCTTCCAAAGTCGAAGCAAGTTTTTTTTGCATACAACTTTATCAAATACATTTTTAAAACAATAATGCCAGTGTAAAATGGGGTTATTACTTTAGATAATTCTTATTTTCTTTTATTTATTTATTTATTTGAGACGGAGTCGCCCTCTGTCACCCAGGCTGGAGTGCAGCGGCATGATCTTGGCTTACTGCATCCTTCACCTCCCAGGTTCAATCGATCCTCCTGTCTCAGCCTCCCGAGTAGCTGGGACTACAGGCGCGTGTCACCATGCCCAGCTCATCTTTGTAATTTTAGTAGAAACGGAGTTTCTCCATCTTGGCCATGCTGGTCTCGAGTTCCTGATCCTAGGTGAACCGCCCGCCTCGGCCTCCCAAAGTGCTGGGATTACAGGCCTGAGCCACCGCACCCTGCCTAGTTAATTTTTTTAATTGTTCACTCCAGTATTTTACAGTCACCTAAGTTCATGCGATTAAGGACTTGAAGTGTCTTTGGGAGTCGGGGGCGAGGGTTGGGATCCTTTCAGGCCACCTTCAATCTCTAGTCCAAACAAACTGGGGGCAGCCATTTCAGCACAACCATCACCCCAAAAAGGTCATTCTGCTTTTTTCTGCCCAACTTGTGGAACTTCTCTGAATTTTTATACATCTTCATTCATAGATGAGACTTGTGAGTGAAAGCCATTCTGATCAGCTCCATGGGTTTTATCTGATAGGCTGCATTAGGCTGCATCATAGCATGTGTACAACTTCTCCCACTCTAAAAGTAAGGCGGGATGGTGATTTTAATAAGATGAGTGAATCCAAGGGTGGGAATTCAGAAATCAGCATGGTTGAAAGCAATTATCTGGACAATTAAAAACTTCAACTGTGGTGAGGTTTTGTTAAAACACAAAGTTGATAGAAATTCAATTTGGGGAAGCTAGGTGATTTCACTTAAGGAAGGCTCATCTGTGATGGAGAGCAGCAAATAAACCCTGAAAGGAAAACACTCAAGAGGCGTTCAAGGCGGTCCAATTCAGTTGGTCAAGATATCTGAGGAAGCACTACTAAGGAGTATCAGTTTTTTTAAATGATGAATCTGCTATATAAACATTCAGACTGCACTAGGGACTCATTCATGTAATTATTTTATAGTTTGCCTTAGCACTGAGTTTTGGAGCTGAGGTTAAATTCAGATGTGACTTCTAAAGAGAAAGGGAGAAAGCTCTATCTGGCCATTTAAAGCTGTTTCAGGTGACTTCTAAGTCAAGTACTGTCATCTTCCAACATACCTTCGAGTAGTTATCCAGAAGTATCTCTATTTTTAGGAGCTTTTCCTAAACCATACAACTCCCTTGAGAAAACAGCTGCTTAGGCTAGGCTTATTGTCATTCAACTGAGGCCTCCATCAACCAATGTTTATGAGTAGAGACTAGAGGAACTACAGCTAACATTGCTAGTTTACCAAGTGCTATGATAGGCTTTTATTTTATTACATTTCACCAGACTGCAGGTGGATTTTTGTCCCCACAATTACAGACAAGTTGAGGCTCAGCTTAAGTAGAAGAGTTATCAATTTCCCTGATGTCACACCAACTCAAGAGGCAAGATTGGACTTTGAGCCGGGCTCCAGCACCAAACCTTTAGATCTCCTGGGGTGATACAAAGCAGTCCAAACCAGGGTTCCAGGCTTTGATGACTAACAACCAGGCTGTGAAAAGAAATACGGTAAACACTACATAACATGAGATGTAAATCACACTTTAAGGCACAATACATGTCAAAGCACTTTGCATCCACTTTGAAACCAAACACCACCACTCACTGGAAACAACAGTCTTCCAGTAAATCTATCTTACTTAAAAGAAAAGGGTGAATAAGTAAACAAATGCCAACAAGCATTGTTTGGCTAATGCAGGGAGGTAGTCTTAGCAATCGCCTAGCCTCTAAAATGTTGCCAATTGTTTTATCAAGAAGAAACGTAAGTCTCTTTCTAGCACCATCTTGGGTAAGTATTGCCATGGGAAAGCCTGGGTATGCCACTTTTTATAGCGGTTGCATGGCTACTGTAAAGTGTGCAGAGAGGAATTCGTGTAAGCAGCTGCCAACCACACCCTAAGCCCAGGCAGCTATCTCACTTTATGAACTACTGGTCATGACAAGAAGTGTGAATGGTGGATAAACCATCACCGTTCAGACAACGCAAAAGAAGTTTTCCCAATTGTGGGCGGAGGTAGATGTAGGGTTCAGGAAATTATATATAGGTCTACTCTTGCCACCTAGGAAGATAAATGACAGGGATTCATACACATATGCTTACTTAAATGTTATTCTTCAACAGACTGGTTAATCAAATGCTCCTGTTCAGCAAATAATAATGAGGCACACACATTCCAAGTGTAAGGAGGGAATGAGTTATTTACCCTTCATCCTTCTAAACATGTCCTAAGTGCTGTGGCCAGAAAGCAAAGGAGAGAAACAAGGGTAGACTCCCAGCCACTCTGGTAAAACCTTCCAAATCACCAATGCAACCTGCACCTTCATTCACCAGTCCCCCCCATCAAAGGACAAGGTTGCGCAGGGGGCAACCCCTTGCAGGACTCCAGCAATTAAGAAACAAAGCAGAAATCCTCCGTGGAATTCAGGAAGGCACCTGGGTAAAGCTGTTTGAGAGCCCGGAATTCCAGTCACACCCTAGGGCAGAGTGCCCAGGGGCCAAAGGGCTGTGTCCGGCTTGGTGCACTTGGGCCAGGTGATTTACTGTCCTCACCCCTTGATTTTCAGGGAATTGGGGAAAAAGAGTTCAGGCTGTGAACTGCCTTTCTGCTCATTTTTCTCTGCTACAACGTCAGAGGTTACCAAAGTCTGTAAGGGCACAGAATGTAAAAAAAAAAAAAAAGGTTTCCCGCTGCAGATGTGGAAGGCTGGGCCCTCGAGTCCTGCCTGAGTGGGCCATCATCAGAAGCCCTTCTCCTTTTGTTCCATTTGCTAGGCCTTCCTCGAAAGAACTGAATGAGATAGACAGGAAGGGGAGGGGGTGGGCCAGGGTGGGGGAGGGAAGGCTGGCTGGTGCAAGAATATATTTTCTATGTCTGGATAAGAGAACAGGATTCTAGGTAATTGCCTGGTTTTCTCATTGTTCTCGGCTGCCATGCCGAGATTCATAGAGGGGCTGAAAGGATCTCTTTTTTTTTTTCTTTCCCCTCTAATTCTTCACTCCCCCAACACACACACACCCTCCAAATCACCGATCCCCCCCCCTTAATCCTTTTCCCTCCCCCCTCTATGGTGCTTATTCCATCCTAGGGAAAAAAAAAAGTAATTTGTCTGTTTTATTTATGATGCAATGAAGGTATGCTGCTCTCGTCGGGATAGCCTGACACTGGTCAAACTATCTGACAGCCGAGAAGAACTGCCTTCATACTCCAATGAGTGTATATTTTAACCATTTGTCCGCCAAACCACACCACGAGGTTTTGTCAGGATTCACAACATGCTCTCTTTTGTTGTTTAAGTCTATTTTGTTGCATCCCAGTTAAAATCAGAACATGAAGTGTGTGCATGGACTATTGGGTCTTGCATTTGCACCCTAAAATACAGAGATACTATACGTCATCTGGCAAAAATGAAGATTGTCTGAATATTCTGGGGGAAGACAGACCACTGGGGATGGTCTTAGAACTACTCTGAATTCAGGAACCTAGAACAGTCATGCTGCAAGTCTTAAATCAAGACACCCCATTTAGTTATCACGTCCATAAAGTGGGATTAGCGCAAATGAAACTGAAATTCCCAGCTCTTCCTCCCAGAATTAAAAATAAAAGCACAGGTCAAAGAGCTAGCGTAGTCCTGTTATGAACAAGATTAGAAAAAAGCACATGTCTAAGTAAAAAGTCCCCAAGCATATAAAGACTTGTTTCTCAGATGGGACCAAAGTTGCTAAGTAGTTGATATTCCATCTTCTAAGTTTTAATCAGAAAGTTGTACCCACCATTTGCAAAATGGGACTTTTAAGAAAGAATCTGAGGGCAACAAACGCAATAGCCAAAGAGACCGTGGTTTTGTATGTATTCCTTCTCGATTCTCATTGCACTGTCCTCACCGGGTCCCATGATCTACCTGCCAAATGTATACTCACTTGTATACACTCTGAAGGCTATTCACCTTTACTTTCAACCACAAACTCTCAATTCCAGAGGGCCTGCCTCACATTCTCTCTCTCCCTCCCTCCCGTTGCCTTGCCACCAGCAATTTAATTCTCCTTTGCAGACATAAAAGGACACACTGGGTTTTAACAATTATACTTTTGATTTTCTCATAAAAAAACAATGCTCAGAATTAGGCCCCAGACAATCTGTTCTTGTCCTGCAAAGGCCTGTGAGGCAAGATTTCCAGAAGAACCAATGGGATTTCTGCTGACTGAAAATATTTTTAATAAACTACAAAAGAAAAGTGCTAAAAAAAGAAAAAAAAACTCACAACAGGTTCAGAAATGTAATGTAATGCACACAGCATGAAGCAGAAACAAAGACCCAGCAGACAGAGAGTGTGATGAATGGTCCTAACCATATTGTATTTATTTATTTTTTAAAAATCTGCATTTGCCTTTCATCTGCAAATGAAAGGAATAGGGAGAAAGTGAGTAGGCATTCCAAGGAATTTCTTCGGTGTAATAAGAGCAAACACAAATATTATAAACTCGGGCAGAATTAAAGTCTAGCAGCAACAAAGATATAGAATGGCTGAAAAAATCAGAGCTCCCACTGTGTTTTTTTGCACTCAGCTGTGGAAGGTGGCAAGAAAACCCAGTACAACGCAGACTCAAGACAGAGCAGTGACCACAGTGCTGGATGCTTCTGCTTTTCCCATCAAATGTGAAAGTTAGTTAAATTGAATTTTCATGAGATGGCAGGGAAAAAAAATTTAGAAATATTTATGAAATGCTTTTTCATAATGTAAAGGTATACTTAAAATTCTCAACAGTTCTTTTTAAAAATTAACGTGGTAAGATCACTCAATAACACACACATATACGAGCTGGAAGATTCTGTAAATTTTCAAGCCATGTAAAAGCCACCCACCCACTCCTCTGTACCCATTGTTCCCAAGGTGTCAGGAGGCACTGGGTGAACCCTGCTGTATTATTTCATAGTATGCATGGTACACTTGATAGGCCATAAAAGTTAACATATTTTGGCAAGGGTATTAATTTATAAATAGTTGATTAAGTGTACTTCATTAGCCATGGAAGGAACTAAGCATATTTTTTGGTAGAAAAGGGTGTTATGCATTATATATGTGCATGCACACATCCCTTCATATAGATACACAGAGTACACCATTTTCATCAGTTGTATCAATATTCATAACAAAATGCACATGAATTTCTCAGGTTGGAAGTCATCCATTTTTAGTGAAAAATAACCAGTTTAACTTGATAACTCTTTAAATATCTAGAAAACTTAATACTTTACACATTTGTTATATTTAATTTTTCATATTCAACGAGTTTTAAGCAGTGTTCATTTCAAACAAAAGGATATGGCACAAATAACTTTTTAAGATTCGTTTAGATTAAAGGGCAAAGGCAATGTTTAACTGTTAATGCCAGCACAGGAAAACATACCCCTCAAAGATAAGCTAGCTTGGTGTATATAAACATTTTATAATTATTCTATAGTTCTGGAAAAGAGTTATATGTTGGGCTTGGCAATGATGATAGGACCATGTCAACATCAAGATCAAGAATAGGCTAGTTGATCATAATAAACTTGATAAAATGAAATTCTTTCTTAATAGTCGACACTAACAGCCATGATTATATGTGCAATATCCACATAACATAGAATGGGTCATTTGGTTAAAATAAACTTGCTTATATGAAAATTCATGGCTGCAAAAATAAACATCTGGACAGTAATATATGCAGTTCTGACTCTCCCTATGTTTTAAATTTTGAAAGGTTTATAATTTATATTTTCAAAATAGTTTCAGAATGGGCTAACAACATAGATCACATCACTCTATGTAACCTGATTAAATTTCACGTTGGAAACTGACAGAGGCCTCTCTATGATCCTTCCTTACAGTAATTGTCCTGCCGTTTTGCGGCTCCTGCTCCACCTGGCTCAACCGCAGCCGTCATAAATCGCAGACTACAAAGCTGCATGATTTGAGAGCCAGCGCCAAAAACGCAAGTTTCAAAAATTGAACCACTCACAGTTCCTCCTCTTCATTTTGAGACAATAAATTTTGTGCTCACATTATCTTGTTATATAATTGCCCGTTAATAAAAACTAGGTAGTGAGAGCCAAATAAATAAATGGCATTTCACAAAATCATCTACACACACACACTCTCTCTCAAACACACACACACACACACACACACACTCACATTTTCTAACTGCTTTGAAAAAGAAATGGAGAAAATGCTTGCAAGTAAATAGGCAGGCAGGCAGCAAAAGAAATTCTCAAAGGTATTTCCAAACTTGCATTCACAACGTGAAAATTGGTGTGAGCTCCAGATTCCTGGAATATTCCCAAGACATAAGTTTTTGAGTATTATCCCCTTATATTAGTTACTGTATTTTTAAAGAGTTATTTTACACATTTCTTTTTTGTTGTTGTTGATTTTCAATAAACAAAAAACTCTTAATTTTTTTGGGGGGGTTATGAATTTCTGCATCAGGAAGGTGATTTGTTTTGCCCATTGAAGCTGATGTATTGAAATGAGCTTTTGCAACTTGATCACTTTTCTCGTGCACCCTTAGAAGAAGCCTTAACAATATCTCTAAGCACTTTTTCCAGGGTCTGCAGAAAGTGGGACGTCTCCTTTAAAGTCCTGGAAAACCACGATTGAACTGTTTGGGAATTCTGTTGTCGCGTATTTATCTGTGCCTCTGTTATAGGCGTTTCAGCGCCTCTTCTTGAAAAGGTCCGATTCTCCTCTGGACTACTGGCCTCTATTTAATTCATTCCTCTCTCAGACAGAGACGTACATCAAACAGGAGAGAAATATGACTGGAATAAATACCTATTTTCTCTCCCTTTTCAGATTAAATATCTCCAGCCACAGATAGAAACCTCCTTAAACTGAAATTAATTTCTGTATTTAAGAAAATACATCAGGTGGTATGTTTTACTTTCATTGCATTTCTGGTGCAATTGGCAAACCCTCAAATTCTTACTATAAATGCATTTTTAATCTACAACCCAGCCTGAGGTTTCTCTTATTCTCCCGATTATCATTTCCCTCTGTGTTTGGGACCTTGTTTGTTATCTCTCTTGCTCAATGCTTATTCAAAAATGCCTTCAATCTTAAAAAACTGGTAAGACAATATATAAAAGGCTGACAGGAAAACACACACATAGAGCTATACACAATCTATAATTTTCTAATATTAGAAGATTTTTTCCTCATAGTCTCATCCAAAAGAAAACGAATTATTTACATTCACAGCTTAAAAAATAATTATACATACTTGTTCTCTACGCTCAAATGCTGCTGGGGACTGGGTGTATTTTATAGAGGTACACTGCCCTCTGCAGGGAAAAACAGCTTTTTGACAACTCTTTGGGGCAACCTCAAAAAAACAGTATCGCTCTGGGGCTGAAAATATAAACAAATAGTTTCTTAAATGGGTTTGCTTATAAGCAATTAAACTGTATTTATGCACCTTAAAATATACTTGCTCACACTCTTATTTTTCTTACGTGTTGGCTTATCCCATTATACTTCTAGAAACACAATAGGAAAAGGGCAACGTTCTTTATCACAAGCTGAGCGACAATACTGAATGGAACACAGAATTGCTCCAGCTTCATTTCTTCTCCAAATTACAGTAGACTCGAAAAAATTTAATAGTCATTCAAGTGCCTTGGGAACGGTGTGCAATAGGGCCCTGAATTTTTCAAGGAACCTCTCTAGATTTCTGCTCTGGGTTTGGGCTGTGGGTGGTAGAATTTCAGGATTCTTAAATCCCCAGGAAATTGCTTTGTGGTTCTTGTATTTTCACTTCAATACTTGGGAAAATGAAATGAGCTGATATTGATAAAGCCTCATTGTATGTATTTTGAACAATAAATTAAGATGCTAATCAAGAGAAAGTTTGACGACCCAGTCGTAACTACTCAAAACTTAAGTGTTGTGGTGGAAATTAGCAATAGTTAGGAGCTACTGAGTTAAGTTCATCGAGGCTTTCATTCCAGATTGGGTCTACCTGTCTTTGCCAAATACCTGAAAACCTTTTCCAGCAATTAAATGAGAAGGGTTATCTTTTTTTTTTTTTTTTAAGGAATTTTTTTAAGGTTGTCATGGAGTAGATTCTGTAAATACAAAATGGGTGAAAAGATATCACCATTTAGTGGCATTTCCCAATTCCCAATAAAGTCTTAAGGGGTAATTCCTTCCACTGAAAAAGAAAATTGTGACTTCTGCCTTCATTGTTCCACCTCCTTTCCACCACAGAGCTGTGCCGTCCCCACAAGAGCACACTTCCTTCTTCCAGTCTCTAAATGTGACCAGCAGGGGGGCTGATGAAGTGCTCATTTTTTACATCAGTCTTATAAATTGCTTTCCCCATTAATTGTGTCCATGGAAACAATACATTTGGCTGGTAAAGGACTCCTGAATAAAATTTAATGGGATTCTCAAAAAAAAAAAAAAATTGCAGGCTGGGGGGACATGCTATGGCTGGCCATTCTAGCAATCTAAGTTTTAGCCCAGTGCAGGACTAATTTCTTGTCTTCAAAAACTGTAATAAACTGAATCCAAATTAAACTGAAGACTAAAAATGTTCTTTTACTATCTGGAAAAGAAATTTAAAGAAAAGGGCAAATAAAAATTACACAGCAGTTCTGGAAAAAAAAAAAAGAAAAAGAAAATAGCACTGAAAAAAAAAAAAAGAATTCCCAATACCTCCTAGCAAAGAACAATCGTCAGTGCTCGCCATTCAGGCAATGTTTAGTACCCAAGTCCTGGTAATATAAGCATGGTTTGTTCAGGATAATTGATCAGATGTCCTAAGCAATCCTCAGGCACTTACAGTATTCTAAGAACACCCCTGCGATCTCCTCCCTGTTCTCCCCTAAGTGGATATTCTACAGGGTCACACACATTCTCTCTCTGTGGCTTTTTTATTCTCACCTCTCCCTCAGTGCTTGTAATCCTTAGGGCAGTTTTGGTTTTAATTTTTTTTCCTTAGCAGGAAAAGTGTCTGTATTGTAGGATCTTAAGCCAAGCCAGCATATACCCATATTTAATTTGGAAAATGTGTGGGTAAATACCACTCGTTATGGGATTAGTCAACAGCTGCAAATCTACCACTGTGAAAAGCCGATTTGTTGTTGTTGTTTCTTTTTAAGTGTCATTTCTTTACATTAAAAAAAAAATCATTCAAACTCCTTGGATGTTTCTCTTAGAATTAAACTGATATGATCTAGATGAAGAAAGATTTAACTTTAAATAGAATAATAATGCATGGATTTCAAATTACCTGTCTTTTTCTATGCCTCAGATCATTTCTGCCTCTGGGTAAATAGGTTAAATTTTTTAAATATATAAAAATTCTATTTCAACATTTCCTTTTATGCAAATTATCCTTTCCCCAAAACCAAACAATGATCTCACTCTGTGAAGCCTTTCTGCACACATGATCTGAAAAAAGGTTTGTTACTGCTGTGTTCAATGTTAAAGGCTGTTTTCCTCCAACCAGAACGCAAGGTTAGCCTGTGAGAAAGGATATGGGTGCTGGTTCTTGAGTGTATCCCTGGCCAACTTCTCTGTCCCTTTCTCTTTAGGAAAAGGTCACATGCAAATGAAATTCAGGATATGTAAATCTGGCAAGAACCAGGGATACAAAAGGCCCTGCATGATAGAATATCCAAGCAGCTGAGACCCAAGACACAGTGTCTGAAAGCCAATTCTCTTAAATAGCATGGTGGCCTGGTCCTGTTATCCACCTGATTTGATTAACCCTAGTGGGTTTTTTGTTTGTTTTTGCTGTCATCCAAAATTCTTTTTTTTTTCTTTTTGAGAAAGAGTCTTGGTCTGTCACCCAGGCTGGAGTGCAGTGGTGCAATCTCAGCTCACTGAAGCCTCCGCCTCATGGATTCAAGTGATCCTCCTGCCTCAGCCTCCTGAGCAGCTGGGATTACAGGTACCCGCCAGCACACACCCAGCTAACTTTCTTTTTTATTTCTTAGTAGAGATGGAGTTTTGCCATGTTAGCCAAGCCAGTCTCAAACTCTGGACCTCAAGTGATCCACCCACCTCGACCTTCCAAAGTACTGGGATTACAGGTGTGAGCCACCGCATCCGGCCAAAAATTCTTAATAGAAGGATTCGTTTTCTGAGCCATCAACAATGATTCAACTGCAACCAAATAGATATTTCTTCTCCACGATCATAGATACATTTATAAATTTATCTAAAGCAAAAATATATCAAGGACCTTGAAAATGTTTGTTCCTTTAACCTAGTATTTCTTAAGGAATTTACCCTAAATAAATCTTTGCACAGTTGACGTATCATATGCAAAAGCATCATAGTATTAGTAATGCATAGTCTATAAAAGCAAATTAGAAACTACATGGCTAACAATGGGTTACATAAACAATAGTACTTTCATAAGATGGAATCGTTCACAAAGCAAATAAAATTGGGTTTACTAAAACTTTTTGCTCCAGGTGCAGTGGTTCACTCCTTTAATTCCTGTGACTTGGGAGACTGAGGCAAGAGGAGAGATTGAGCCCAGGAGTTGGAAGCACAGTGAGCTATGATAGCACCACTGCACTTTAGCGTGCATGACACAGAAAGACCTCATCTCTAAAAATAAATTAGATATAAAACTTTGTCATGGCAAAAAAAAAAAAAAAAAACTGCCCACAATGTGTTAGGGGAAAAAAGCAGGATTTACAAGTCATTTATATAATATACACGGAGAAGAAAGACTGAAAGGAAATGCAAACTTTTCACAGTGATGATTTTCTTTGTACTTTTCTATACTTTCTAAATTTCCACAATGAGTATCTATTAATCTCCTGCATTAAGAGAATCAAAATTACCATAAATGGATATGAATATATATACTATTAGATCTTAAGACCCACCCTTAGCTTAGTCTTTTATAAACTGAAATGATCAGAATGAGCCGAGAAATATTTCCTGGAATCTGATACAAATTCATTTGGTAGATGCAATGTGGAGGAAGATTGCCTTGGGAAACTCTGTTGTTCTAAAGATGGGGCAGCCATGTAAAAATAAAACCGAGTGCCTAAATCTAAATTTCAGCACCAGAGATACAGACATAAATGAGACACAATCCCGGCAATTCAAGAGAGACTGAAAGGTTATCAAATAATTGCTATGTGGTGTGAGAAGTGTTGCAAAAATGACTTTCAGAAAGCAATGGTCTTCAAATTCAGGCTGTGCAGGGGTATCTCTGGAATTACAAAAACTCTTATTTTAATGTCTTCCTTTAAATAGTGCTTATTTCGGAGATGGATGTTTTAAAACATGCATACTCAAGATTATAGGTCAGTCTTAACATTTTTGAAACTTTTAATACATTAGAGTTTACAACCCAATTAGCTTGCTTTTCTGCAGACATTGAATGAAGGTTTTTTTCATTCTTATTTAGGATAAGAAATGAAAGATTGCAAAGCAAGCTGCATAAGCAAACAAGATCCTTCAATCTGCAACTACTTATTATGAATTGGAATTCTTTCAATATGGGAATTAAAAAAAAAAAAACTAGAAAAATCAGTCACTTGCTACAGATGACCTCAAACTGCAACGGACATGCATCTCCAATTATAAATTTAAAGTTCTAAAATCAGCTTAACCTAATATATTATGACTTTTTGGCAGGAGAAATAGGTGTTATTTGGATTTTTTTTTTTTTTTTTTTTTGAGACAGAGTCTTGCTCTGTCGCCCAGGCTGGAGCGCATTGGCATGACCTTGGCTCACTGCAACCTCTGCCTCCCAGGTTCAAGCGATTCTCGTGCCTCAGTCTCCCGAGTAGCTGAGGAAATAAATTTTTTGAAGTTTAAAAGTAAGTGAGGAGCAAGACACAGCAAAGACACAAGGGAAAATTTCACAGAAAAACAGCAAAGGATAAAAGCCATCACTTCACATTTGAAAACAAAGTTTTTGCTTTTCATTATATTTGGCCTCAAGTGATTTTTATTGTGTTTTTCCCCTAATTTTCATGGCAAAGGAATTGAATAAGAAATATATGGATTAGTATTGTGTGCTAGCAATAGTCTTCTTGGTTTAGGTCATTCAAAAATCAGCTGGGAACCCTGTGGAAAATCAGCTGGGAACTCTATGTTTAGGCTGAGAAGGGAGGACTGGAAAGAGATTGTGATACAAGAATGCAAATATCCACTTATTCCACTGGCTGTCCAAAGGCAATAGACAGAAAAGCAGCCCAAGTCAGCTAGAATCTTTTTTGCACCTCTGCATGAGACACCTTAGTAGGCTTCAGCCATTGTCCTGAGGCCACAGTGGAATCCTAGGGTACAACTCTGAAGCCTCCCCAGCTTACCTTCTGCATCAGTTAGGAAAATTTTGGCTTTGGGTAATAGAAAACATAATTCAAACCATATGGGCATTTATTATCACAGTGTTTTAGGCAGGGCAGCCTTCAAGTTCCTCCTCTTCCTCTTAAGGTTGCCTTCTCCCATGTGTTGACATTAGCCCAAGACTGATCACAAGATGACTACAATGGTTTCAAACACAGCATCCAGACCCAACAATGGCCAGTGAATAAAGGACCTCCTATCTTTCCCCTCCTCTAACAGTGAAGAAACCTTTTCAAGAAACCCCTCAAGAAACTTCAATGTATCTCTTTTTGGTGGGGGTACAGCATTCAATTCACAGCACAATTTTTTCAGCAAGATTTTCCTCCTGCCTCAATTACATCACGTGTCTCTGTCTAGAACAGTCATGAGCAAGAGGAATGCTCTGTGATTGACTTGGATTCACTGGGACCCCCTAGCAGGGGATGGGCCTAGCATCCTCTGAAGCATAGAGCCATGCGTAGGAAGATGTTAGAAAACCGGAAGAACTGCATTTTCTGGTGGGAAGAAGAAAGGAGGGGATGACTGTTGGGGTGAGGCTGCTGTCAGGAAGCTAGAGAACAACCTTAGTAGTGTTGCTCTGGCTGTTCACGTGGTGACAAACCATTTGGACTGGGAGTGAGCCCTGGTAAAAGGCCATCCACTTCTACAAGGAAATTCTTGTTGAGATAACCATACTCACAAAATTATTAACAGAGGCAATTATTTCTCCTATAACCATGTATGTGTTCATGTGTTGCCTGAGCTTTTTTTTTTTTTTTGTCATTTTAAGAGTTAATCGTCATTTGATAGATATCGTCCCATCTCCAATTTGAGTAGATCCTTCTTTCAGATCTCATACCACTTTCTTGTTACCTTTAGTAGATATTTATTTATGTCTGCCTTTTTATTTGTAGTTCTATTTATCTTCATTGAGAGTTCACCTTTACTATTCCAAAGAACAGTAAGCATGACTTATTAATGATCCCCTCATCCATTCATTATTATACTTGACATAATGTCTAATACTTGTATGAATGAACTAAATGAAAAGAGATATGAAGCTTGCAATGTATAAAGTTCTAATTCGTTGCACTTCCATCCTCTTTTTACCTATCATTTCTTAATGTTTGGAATTCACATGACATATCCATTTCACACTATTACTGTTTCAGTCATTCAAGTTATGGAGATCCTATCCTGTTATATGGTATTTTTTTTCACTTCCAAGAAGATAGCCCTAGCAGAAATGCTCACAAAGATATATAAAGATGTTCACAAAAGCATTATTTATAATAGCAAAAAAATGGAAACAACTCAATATACAACAATCAGATTGCCTAGATAAATGATACATCCATTCTGTGGAAAATAACTACTAAAAAGTTATGGTTTTGATTAATAATAAAAGGCTCATAGTAAATTCTTAAAGTGAAAAAATAACATATATAGTAGAATCCAAATCTAACGAAAAGAAAATAACACGATAAAAAAATGGGAGGCTCTTCTAGCCAAGATAGCAGATTGAGGTGAGGTATAAAGTCTCTCTTCCCCCTTTAAACACATCTAGAAAGCCTAAATAAAATTTAAGGAAGATTTTCAAAGCCCATAGCTGGACTCGAAAATAAGAAAAATACATTTATAGGGGCCACAAAAATAAGCCTTTGTGTCCTTCAGAAGAAGTAGTGGAGGCAGATTTTAGCATAGACACGGAAAATCAAGATGACAAACCCTGGCCAGGCGCTGCAGCTCACGCCTGTAATCCCAGCACTCTGGGAGGCCGAGGCGGGCAGATCACGAGGTCAGGAGATCGAGACCATCCTGGCTAACACGGTGAAACCCCGTCTCTACTAAAAATACAAAATTAGCCGGGCGTGGTGGCGGGCGGCTGTAGTCCCAGCTACTAGGGAGGCTGAGGCAGGAGAATGGTGTGAACCCGGGAGGCGGAGCTTGCAGTGAGCCGAGATGGCGCCACTGCACTCCAGCCTGGGCGACAGAGCGAGACTCCGTCTCAAAAAACAAAAAAAGAAAAGAAATAAAAATAAAAAATAAAAAGATGGCAAATCCTGGGCTTCCTCCCTGAAGCAAGACAAGGTGGCCACTGTAACTGGAAAGCCTCTTCCCATTATCCTAAACACGAGAGTTATTTTAAGGAAGCAGAGTCAACTACAACAATTTGAAACTCCCTACCCTGCGAGGCTTGCAAGTACAGGGCAAATTTTGAGCCACAAGGAAACCCCAAACCCATTAACGTAAAAATTGGCCCAAAGCTGGGAAACCAATACATCCATGGCAGAGTAAAGAACATAACTGCCCCACAAGGATTCCTCCCACAAGTCAGCACATAACCTATAAATATATAACTACTACTGAACCCAAATGAAAACATTGCAAAGAAATCCAATACCGTGAGAGTTTGTAAAGGCAACAAAAGGTTATACCCAAATAACCTGTGATAATAAAACAGCCTAAAAATAACTTTAAAATAAATGTTTATAACCATCAAGAAGATGAAAAAGATAAAAGATTACATATAGTGGAGACAAAATGTTATAAAAAATAGAAAATTTGACAAAGAATTGTGGAATTAAAACCCTATCACTAAAAGATAAAACAATGATATATTAAGCATGCAATATGTAGAGGAAAAAATTTAATAAACTGGAAGATACATCTAAGGAAATAACCTATAATGTATCACAGGAAGTTAAAATATGGAAAACATAAGAGAAATTTAGATGGAGAGAAGAGAATGAAAAGTCCAACATATGAGTCATCTGAGAAAAGGAGTCTAAAGAGAATGAAGAAAGGGATAAATATTAAAATTCTCCAGAACTAAAGATATAAATCCTCATATTGAAAGAATTCATCAACTCTCATACTAAATAAGACAAAGCCAAAACAAACACTGTAGTGAAACTACACAACACCAAGAAAAAGGAAGAAATAATTGTGAAAGCTATAATAGGAAAAAGATTATCTTCTAAGGAACAAAAATCAGACCAACAGGAGTCTTACCAGCAGCAACAATAGGAACACAAAGACAATAGTAACCTCAAAGTACCAAGTAAAAATAACATAACCTAGAATGGCACACCCAGCTAAACAATCATCTAAGAGTTAAAACAAAAGACTTTCGAAGGTATAAAAACTAAAAGCTCACTAAGTACAGACCCCCTCTGAAAGAACTACTAAAGGATGTAACCAACCAAAAGGAAAATGAATACCACAGGAAGGAACAGGGTATAAGAAATGATCAGAAGAAAAGAAACTGGTAAAATGTGTTGGTAAATCTAAGCCATTAACTAATTTGGGAGAATTTCAAATCGCAATGGAATTCTTGATAATGTGAGATGTGGAGAGTGAGTGTTAGCTTCTAGGACTCTTGTCCTATTTAAGAGCAGATAAAATTTTCAACTCTCTACTTTGTTATGAAAATCAAAATTTAAGTATGCATCTTAAATATTTTAGAGTAAATACTGAAACAATTGAAATAGAATGCAAATTTAAAATTCAGTAAAGGGGAGAAAATATGCAAGAGAGAAACAATTCAACTAAAGGCAGGGAAGGAGAGGGGAAAAAAGCAAAGAAACAATATAAATAGTAAAAAATAGTAAATAAATACTAAATAGTAAAAAATAGTAAATAAAGAGTAAAACATAGTAAATAAAAAGCACTTTTCTGTTTTCTAATATTTCACTAGTAGTAAGATCTGAGAAAGACAACCATATCCAAATAGACTGTAGTTCTAGGCATGCATTTTCTAGGCACAATTTCAAAACATGATTAGAAATACCCTAAGTCTTCATTATTAAAAGCTGAATAATACGTTTCAAGCTTCACTTTGCTAATGCCACCTGGAAGCATTACTACTTAGTAAGATAAAAAAAATTTAGGTACAATTATCAAAATAAATGCAAATGACTTAAATTGTCTTTTTAGAAGACAGAGACTCTCAAACTGCATCAGAATTAAAGTACAGTTATATGATGTTTACTCGAGAGATTCCATGGCATAGCCTGAAAGATAAAAAATAGGGTGATAAGGAAAGGTGTGTTAGGCAAATGCTAACAAGAAAGTAGAGATGCTAGCAGAGAAATGACTTACAAGAGAATGCTAATAGTGATTATCTCTGTGGGTAGTGCTGAATGATTTCTATTTTTTTTATATCTTTCTGTATTTTTTAAAATTCTTGAATGAAAATATTTTTATAATTGAAAAAATGCATGTATTTTTAATTATTAAGGAGTTTACTAATATGGCATAATTTAGAATAAGCAGGACCATATATCATTTTAATCCCTTTACTAGGTAACATGTATTAAGTCATTTAATCTTTATAACAATGATTGAAATTGTTATAAAAATGTTGAAATTGTTATAAAAATGAGGGAAATACTACTTTTGCTTTATTTTGTAGATCAGATAATCAAGGCAAAGAGAGCTTTCAATAATATATCTAGGTCAAAGAGCTAGCAGAGACAAGAGTAAGTAAGAAATATCACCCGTTGTATGTCCTGGAGATATTAGATATCTACACACAGGAAAAGCATGGGATCCTAGTTATAGGACTATCCCAAGTCCTATAACTCAGAACTTACAAAAATTATTCTTTTATTTGTATAGGCAATTATTTTCCAATAAAAAATATTTCAATGACAAAATATATTTAGCACTTACTACAAATAGCAGACTTCACAGACAAGATAGAGAAAACTCCTTTCTATAATTTTGGTTCATGATTTATATTCTAGGACCTCATAACAAAAATACCATTATGTATCTGCCAATGCATACATCATGGCTTTTTCCAGTATGTATCATTTTTATAATAGATATGATCCTATTTTTGTATCTTGATTGCTTCCAGGTGGCATTAGCAAAGTGAAGTTTGAAACATACTAATCAGCTTTTAATAATGAAGACTTAGTATTTCCAATCATGTTTGGAAATTGTGCCTATAAAATTTATGCCTAGAACTATATTCTATTTGGATATGGTTGTCTTTCTCAGATTATACTTCCCTTTTCTTTTAAGCAAATATACAGTTTAGAGTAAATTTTAAGATAATACGTAGTATATTTTGAAATAATTTCCACAGCTACAAAAATAGGAAAAAAAAAACCCTACATTATTAGAAATTACCTGTTACCTGTATTTACAGTAGCCAAAAAAAGAACCATCATTTATCAGTAATGGATGCATTTCTAACCAAATGGATTTTGAAAGAAAAAGGGACATTTTGCAAGCTCTATCAAAAAAGGCCTTGCAAATAGCATGTAGACAATTACATTTCTGGGAACATTCAATTGGCCACCTATCATGGCTAAATTACAATAATGTGCATTTTGGCAAATCATATCATTTTACTAAGTCATTTTAAATGGACACTGTACATTTCTTCTCTTACCTCTCAAAATACTTCTCTAGAATGCTTCCAACTTAAAGGAATATGCAGATACACCCTGGATATCCCATCATAACCAGGCCTGCTTTGTAGGAAGCCATAGGAAGCAACAGTACCTTTCTCCAGCTAAACCTCATATTCCTAGAGGGTACTAACTAAGCTAAGACCCACCTCTATCTACACTGTCATTGCCATGGTAGCATGTTAAGCATGTTAGAGTGATGACATCTGTCAGAGGCCCTATTTAATGAAATAAAGACAGTGGTAAATGGTTGATCAACACCTCTCCTTCCGTTGTCTTAGGCTGTCAGGAAATTGTCCCTTCCATGTCAACGAGCTACGTTTATCATTTTCAAAAGCTAAGGGCCTTTTGTACAATTTCATTCACTATATAATACTGGTTCATATTCATTTATGATATCACATTATAATGTATGAAAAAGTGATTTTGAGAAATGGGGATGGAGGCATTCAAATGCATAGCTATAATAGATGTGCATGAGGCCCTGGAATATAAAACTAATGATTTCATTTGTCTACTCTTGATGTTGTTGGAGAGTATTATCTTATGCATAATTAACAAGGTTTTGAAAGGTTGAATATAAAACATTACAGCGTTAGCCAGCTTACATCAGGAACTCTGCTGTGACCGATACAAATAACCTATAAGTGAGCTTTCTACCTAATCTGAAAAAATGATCAATATTATTCTTTACTGGTACATCTTTATTTTCACAGGTACATGCTCTCTCTCCGTGAGTAACTATAAAGAGTGAAATAAGATCTATCTGAACACCATTTTAAATTCTGGCTCACTTATATTTCACAAGTGACACTATCTATTGACCTTAAAATTGTAGAAATTAAATTACTGGCATGACCATAGGAATCTCACGTGCAACTACCCAAAACCATAAGCATCTAGCTCACTAGCAGGGGTCTCACCACATATGCCATTGCATCAGTCAAGTAGGACTTGCTAAAAACATCGTAAGCCACATAAAGCATATTTATAATAAATGAGGCTGCTCATGCAGCCTTACCAATAGCCTCACTTTTATTCACAAATACGGTCACCCAAAAATACTGCCTTCTGTTCCTTCCTATTCAAACTAGTCAACGCTTTCAAGTCTTATATTTATCTTGCAATTACTACTCTTAAAACTGCTCATTGTGGGCTAGACAGTAACAAGCAGATTGAATGGTCTGGGTCAAATTGGAGCCAAAGCACCAAGACTGAAACAAAGGCCCACAGAGCAAACAGATGGCCAAGGACAGCAGGAACGAAACTGCTGGATTCTTGCGTCTGGGACTATGGCACACCCAGCATTCAACAAATGTGTGTGCCAGGCACTGTTCTACGTGCTGTTTTCAAACATTTGAATGGGGTAATTTAGGAAAATTAGAATTCCTGTAATTGTACATAAGCCAGGATTTTAAATCAAAACATTTTCAAAACCTGAAGTCAAGGATGACTCTAAGATGAAATATGACTTACTCAAAACAATTAAGCCTAAGCTTTTAATTGGAAGAGATGACAAATTTGTAGAAGTGGAAACATTTTGATTAATATATTGTCCCATTTTACAAAGTGAAAAATAGGAATATTCTATAAAAACCATCTTAGTATGGCACAAGGTTGCCTTAAGCCTACTTTTTTTCAAGAACAGGGTTTGGCACAAACCAGGCATTTAGCAAATAGTTGTTGAGTGAATGAGCAAATGTCTTAGCAACTTTTTATCTATCAAAGTAAAAATGCGACATAATGTTCATTTCAACGGACTTCTGAATAGGTAACTATTGGATGTAGAAAACAAATTAGGACACAATTTTACTACCAATGTTTAGGGCAAGCCAGACAGCATAATATCTTTTAATTTCAAAATACCCCTGTAGGAAGAAAGCTGTTCAATCACGATATTGTGAGAAGTTCAGAACAAATTTATCTTACCTAAATAAAAGCCATAAAAAGGAAGGATATTTCCTACTTCAGTGAGAAAACATCCATTTTTGTAACAACGTACAACCTTTTTGTAATCGTGGGTGGGCAGAAGATAAAGATTACTACCCTAGTTTTGGACATGGCCCTGGAAAACTTTTTAAAACAACAGGTATACCCCATGAGAAGTACTGAGCAGGCAATGACACAGTAAGAATTCATTCAAGCCACGCATAAATCAGTAGGACATGACCAACTCACACCTTTTCTAAACCATTCACGACAATTTTTTTTTCATTTTATGAAGACACACAAAGGAAATTCTAGCTACTAACTGCATAAAAATATGAGGTATTTGCTGGAGAGCTGATAATATTGAAGGTGAAAAAAAGTCGAACATCCTTGCCTAGTGAAAAAGCATGAAAAAAAAAGTCTGACTCTTACAGTTACCTTCAAGGTAAAATTAATTATTAATTGGAAACGCCTGGATATGGAATGATTGCCATCAATATTTTAATACTTTGAGTGCTAATTTCATTCTCACCATCATAGTTTGTCTACTGAAGAAGAGAGAGCTGTTTACTTTCAGGGAGGCTTGCTATAATGATCACCTTAAGAAGGTTTCCAATATTTTGAAATGCTTTGAATCTTCCTCTTCTTTAATTTCTAATATTAAGCAAACTGAAAAAAAAAACTCACTTCATTCACACAAATGAACAATTCTACCATTCCTAGCTGGCTCATGAAATATTAGATCGCTAATTTCTGAACAACATTAATTTTTTAATTCCTACCCACCAGTGCTGCAACTCACATTGCATTCAGATTTCTGCTTTCTCGTAGAGGATTTGCAGTGGTTCATAAAACTTGAACTTTGTGAAATTAGAAGATGAATGTATCAATTAGCTGAATTCAACCTAACTCATCTCCAGAGTCAAGCTCATAGAAAAGCCTAGCTAAAAATGCACCTTTAAATCTAGCAGAATGATTTAAAAGAAACCTTCACGTGTTGAGGATTGGATGTGTCAAAAATGGGATGTGGACAAACAGGAAGAATTAAGCACTCTCCACTTTAGCTCCTCAGGGTCCACTGCTGCAGAGGGAAGAGATGCTCATGAACATCTTTGAAACCTGGAAGTATCAGCCCAAGAAAATCTCACATTCAAGGGTGAGGTCCAATTTTCCTTGGGGATAGAGCCACTACCCTAACTGCTAATACCAACATTCCAGGGCAGATAAAAGGAGTGTCAGAGATTTTTTTGAGACAGGGTCTTGCTCTGTCGCTCAAACTGGAGTCCAGTGGCACCAACACGACTCACTGCAGCCTCAATTTCCTGGACTCCAGTGATCCTCCTGCTTCAGCCTCCCGAGTAGCTGGGACTACAGATGCACGCCACCATGGCAGCTAATTTTTGTATTTTTTTTTTTTTGTAGAGATAGAGTTTCCTCATGTTGCCTAGGCTAATCTCAAATTCCTGGACTCAAGTGATCCTCCCACTTCAGCCTCCCAAGGTGTTGGGATTATAGGTGTGAGCCACTGCGCCTGGCCTCAACAGAAATTTGGCATTGCCCAGGGCATTTAAAGCCTAGAGGAGCTTTTCTGGGGACAACACTACTAGAAAAGTATCATACTAGGGTTTTTTTAAATTAGAAGGCTGCCTAGTGCTGCACAGAACCCCATCAGTGTGGGGGCAACGTCCTATGCTCTCCTGGACTCTGGCCCCAGATTTGCCTTCATCTTCTATTTTTAACAGCACACACCTGTTGCTTCTACACACCCTCCTGTCCTGCAGCCTGTGACTAAGTACTTCAGTCTTACCTGGGATGCTGTCTTGTTCCAGACAACAGCTTATCTGACATTACTCCTGTAAGCCTGTGGTCCCCCTCAATACGAAGCACCTGTCAGGGAGTGAGGCAGTGTCCTGGTCAGCCACTGCCAGCAACCTGGCCGTCAGGTCCAGCACTCACCTCTCTCGCCCACCACATCTCAACAACCACTAGTTGCTACTGATTCTACCTGCTTAGTGGGTTTCAAATCTGTCACTTCCCTATCCCCACCAGCATGCTAACCTGGGGCAATCTGGTCACCATCACCCTTGACCCTTTTATTATTATTTCAATTGTTTTTGGGATACAGGTGGTTTTTGTAAAATGGATGAGTTATTTAGTGGTGAATTCTGAAATGTTTGTGCACTCGTCACCCAAGCAGGTACACTGTACCCAATATGTAGTCTTTTATCCCCTACCACCCCCCAGCTTGCCCCCTCTGGCCCCTGCCAAGTCCCCAAAGTCCATTATATCTCTCTGTTTTTGCGTCCTCATAGCTTAGCTCCCACTTATAAGTGAGAACATACAGTGTTTGGTTTTCCATTCCTGCGTTACTTTACCTAGAATAATGGCCTCCAGCTCCATTCAAGTTTCTGTAACACACATTTCGTTCTTTTTATGGCTGAGTAGTATTCTACGGTATATACATTCCATATTTTCTTTATCTACTGGTTGATCACCCTTGCCTCTTCACAGCCTCTTAAGTCACTTCCTGTACCTGTCAAGGCCCCTCCAATCCATTTTCTATACCGCACAGTGGTGTTGCAAAAAAAAAAAAAAAAATCTCAGCAGATCACTCTCCAACTTAAAATCCTTCAGGGGCCTCCCCTTCTGCTCTCAGGACAGGGCTAAACTCTTTATCATGCATTGAAGATTAGCCCCAGCTTACTTACCTCAACTCGGCACTCCTCAACTTAGAGGCCCCTGCCCCCTCTCAACTTCAAGCTTTTTTGTGCTTAGTCTAACCTCACCTTATGAGGCTAAAGTAAGACTCTTCCAAGACATGAATTGCCAGACACATACATAGCTCAAGTTTTGCTTGTTTGTTTGTCTGAGACAGTCTCACTCTGTTGCCCAGGCTGGAGTGCAATGACACAATCTCGGCTCACTGCAACCTCTGCCTCCCAAGTTCAAGCAATTCTCCCACCTCAGGCTCCCAAGTGGCTGGGATTACAGTGGTGTGCCACCACACTCAGCTAATTTTTGTGTTTTTAGTAGAGATGGTGTTTCACCATGTTGGCCAGGCTGGTCTCAAACTCCTGACCTCAGGTGATCCGCCCACCTCAGCCTCCCAAAGTGCTGAGATTACAGGCGTGAGCGACTCCGCCCATCCAGCTCATTTACATTTTGGTCATGCACTAATCTTGTTCATTACAGTACTCTACTATTACCATGTCATTGGAGCTAAAAGTTCTCAAGACAAGAATATTCATCATCTATGCATAGAAATTCTAATCAAAATTTATTGAGCACCTACTATGTTCTTGTCATGATTCTAAGCAGTTATTTATTTACATTAACTTATTTATTCCTTCAAGCCCTACGAGTTGATGCAGTTATTCCCATTTTATAGATGAGAAAACAGACACAGAATGACAGAGCAAAGATGACACAGCTAATAAGTGCAGAAACTAAGATTCCAATGAAGGCCAGAAGCTTCCAGAGTTAACTACAAAACTTGACTACTACTCCAGAGACAGTGAAGGAGTACAAACTGTGTTTGAATTCATGATAGGTAATGACAAATGTGTGTCAGCTGACAGAAATAAAATCATTGTGTCCTGGCTGAGGAAGGTAATGATGACCAGAATGTCTAGGCTGCAAATCTCTGTAAGAGTTACTTCTGCAAAGCAAACATTACATCCTCCTTCCTTAAGGCACACCTCACCAGGGTACATTTTTCATATAATATTAATTTTAGGCCTATTTTGAAAAACAAAGTAGCAATATCACACTGTAGAATTATGTTGCTGCCCAAACTAAAAACTACATAATTAATGTTACAGAAACATGGATTCCTGGTGCTTTGAAAATCTAAACTATATGTCTACCATTTATAGTTTATTAACAAAATTAGATGCAGCTTTTTTATATGAACTGCGATACATTTTTCTGATGTTAAATCAATAGTTTCCATTTTTCATCTAACAGAAATTTACAAAATTAAATACATCAGACAAATGGTCATAATGTAACCATAAAATGAAATCTGAAAGATTAAAATGATGGTTATTATTCATCATGCATATTTGCATCCTCAAATGTAAAAGTCCTAATTGCTTGCCTTAGGTTTTGATACGTATAAAAGTAAAATATGGATTAACAGATTGGCCTTTTTCTTCTTCCAGAAAAAAAAAAATCCTGGGCACAGAATACATGGTCGATAAATAAATGATTGATTGATTACTGTAATAAGCTTGTTTAGTTGCTAGAACATCTGAGGATATTTTAAGTAACGGGGGAGAGGACGCCAACTACTTATATCTGGTTATAGTGAACCATAGTTAAAAACATTTGAATGTTACAGGAAAAAAAAAAGAACATTTTAGAAATTAACTGAAAAAATGGCTGTGGTAGTACAGAGCAAAACATCTTTATTGAGCACATACTATGTGCTGAGCATGGTACTAGTTGCTTGGCAAACACCAGTGAATGAACAGACTTTGTCTTTGCAGAGTTTATGGTCCAGTGGGAGATTTTACCATCACACTGTGAGAATCTCAACATGGTAGGTCACCACCATGAGGTTAAACTACCGAACCATGAAGTCACTGGAATATGTCTTCCTACCTTCCCTTTCTGAAATTCCAAATTATACTCTAAGCACAGCCTAATCTCCTTTACAGAGAGTTTCTACTCCAAAACCATACTTCTCTCTCTTATTCCAGATTTAAATTCCATTCTTTCAAAGCTCAATTCTGAACTGGGAAGGAACCACAAGATGATTTGCATCAGGGCGTGAGTGAGTGACAGCTACTTGCATTTTTTCTAATGGGGTTTGCTAAGAGGAATGACTCACTAAAAAATGTAGGCAATAGTAGCAAATGTTATGGGCAAAATAGAGCTATTTGGGGAGATGGGTTTTCTGGATCCTACAACAATCTAGCTAGGAATTTTTTCTGCCTCTGGCTACACACAGGTTTACCTTGAAGGGCATCATCTTTATGAAGAGGCTATAGCCCAAAATGTTCAGGGTTTTAAAAAAAAAAAAAAAAAAAAAAAAAAAAAAAAAAAAACCATCACAGAGTGGGAATAAAGAGTGAAATCCCTAATGAGTAAGGTAGGAAATTTGGACAAAGCAGGCCATAATCACCAGTAACAAAACAAGCCCAGAATAATGTTTCCACTTATTTGAAAATTATGCAGCCAGGCCAGGTGGCTCACGCCTATCATTCCAGCACTTTGGGAGGCCAAGGAGTTTGAGACCAGCCTGGATAACACAGGAAGACACAATCTCTACAAAACACTTAAGAATTAGCTGGGCATGGTGACGTGCACCTGCAGTCCCAGCTACTTGAGAGGCTGAGTGGGGAGGATCACTTGAGCCGGGGAGGTTGAGGCTGCAGTGAGTCATGATTGCACCACTGCACTCCAGCCTGGGTGACAGTAGGACCTGTCTCGAAAAGAAAAGAAAAGAAAATCATCCAAATATGCCTCTTGGTCCTAAGATCCAGCTTTTCAAGCATCCCTTAAATCCATTTTATTTTTTTTATTTATTTATTTTTTTTTTTTTTTTAGATGGAGTCTCGCTCTGTCACCAGGCTAGAGTGTAGTGGCGCCATCTCGGCTCACTGCAACTTCCACCTCCCCGGTTCAAGTGATTCTCCTGCCTCTGCCTCCCAAGTAGCTGGGCTACAAGTATGTGCCACCACGCCCAGCTAACTTTTGTATCTTTAGTAGAGACAAGGTTTCATTATGTTGGCCAAGATGGTCTTGATCTCCTGACCTCATGATCCGCCTGCCTTGGCCTCCCAAAGTGCTGGGATTACAGGCATGAGCCACCGTGCCCGGCCCCTTAAATCTATTTTAATTTACTATCAGGGTCTTTTAATCAAAAAGATTTAGAAGTCAGTAAGAGAATTTATTTAATGCTCTAAACTGAAAGCATTCTCTATTTAGAGGATAGGTGTTTTTCCTTCTGTTGAAAACTGAACATGTGACTCTGAAATCTTACCAGGTTGACAATGGTATTAAATCTTCAGGTTGCTCAGGTGCCATGAATTCAGGGGATGGATAATAAGTATAACGTATTTGAGATGTGTCAGCCACAAAAAGAAAGTTCCTTAACTGTCATCCTGTGGTTTCCTGACTGTTCACAACCTTGCCAACTACCACAACAGCATTAATTTTATGTCCAGAATTTTCTTTTTCCTACAATAAACTGAGTTTTACTGTAGGAAAAAGTTAGGGCAAAGTCACCCATTGAGCCCAGGATAACCACTGGATAAGCTACCAGCACCAGCTTTTGTAAGACTCAGCTTTTTTCTCTTAAAAAATGAGTTCCAGGAAAATGTTCTATTTCACAAAGGCAGTTTTCCTCCAACTCACTAATGTTTGTTGATCTGAACAAACTCATGCTTTGTTAATAAATTAAGCAAAAATGCTTTTAAAATTCAACCACAATGAAACATTTCATCCCGACCTCATTATGTGCCATTTCCATGCCTCGCCAGAGTTTCTGAGAACTCCCCTGTGTGCACCTAAGTGACAGCAGAAAAATCTGTTCTCGAGCTACTTTTAGCCAAGTAAATACTTGGAAATTCACTCTGTAGCTAAGAAAGCATATTATTATAGCCTTTCCAAAGACATCTGGTAAACATCCAGCACTGAGCACAGTAGATAAGCTTTTTTAGACAAGAGGCGAGCCCTACTTTCAATTGCAGTGAAAGCATAGCCACTGAAAAGAGCCTCCTATATGTTCACCCTGAACTATCTCAGGGGAATTCTCAGCTTTATGTATGTTAACTGCCCCCTCAATCACCTGTATAGTCTACTAGATGGAAAGGCATGGGCTGGAGGGTATTGACTATGTCTTGGTCCCTATCGGGAACAATGTACCTAGCATACGGTGGGCATTCAGTATCAACATTTGTTCTGTGAATGAATACCTCCCATAGGGGTGATGGAGAAAAATTAACATCAGGTAAGATTTAAAGGCATTCTAGAACCCAAGCTCTCTGGACCTCAGGGTCCTTTTCTTATCTTCTGGGGCCGACTTCCCCTTAGGGCATCAGTAAATTAGTGGGGTTGGCTTTCTGAGGGGTCAGAGGCTGGTGGTGACTCTTGGCAAGCGCAGGCCTGTTGGTAGTCATGGTCTTCTTAGCAGATACAAGACGCTGGTTTTTTGGCTAAACCAAGGCCTAGGAGTAGAGAGAGATAAGTAAGAAGGGAATAGATCCATTATTCAAAATTTGAATTCTCAAATTATTTAGAGGCCGCATGTGTTGCCTGATTAATTTTATAGTTCTGAAGGGCCAGATAGCCTGTGGGGTTGCCACATTTATCACTTGGGGTTATTATCACAATGTCTTCTTCCTTTTGAATTTATAATCAAGAACTGACTCTGTAACATATGCTAAGTTAGGAAAGGGTCTACAAAGATTTTAGATAGGAGGAGGAGGAAGAAGAATAACAAAGGGGAAGAAGAAATAAAAGGGGCAGGAGTAGGAGGCAGCAGCAGTGGAAGGAAAAGAGGAAAGGTGAGAAAAAGGAGAAGAAATCTCAGTTGCTTAGAGGGTGACATCAGCCATAATTACATTTTTTGCAATGTCCTCCAATCTGGTGCTGAAGATGGGCTTGGCATCTACTTTGCCAAAATCATAAAACCTTAACAAGAGGCCAAACCATGAGCTCAAAGAGTAAGAAGAGAGTAGAAAGCTTCTAAGAATATGAACTGTGGTTATTAGAAGATAACCAAAGACTGAATCTTGCCAAGCAGAGGACTGACTGGGTAAAGGAGATGATCATGACAGTGATGGTGGTGGTGGTAACCATGAGCTTACCATGGCCAGGTAACCCCTTCAGTTCTCACAACTACCCCCATATCAAGCAGGTTTTATTATTGTTATTCCCATTTTGCAGGTGAGGAACAGAAAGGTAAGTTAAATGTACATGGTCACACAGCCAGCAAATGGTAGTGCCAACCTATTCATCCAGGAAGTCTTGATACAATGCTCTCACACATTGTATTGATTTCTTGTAGTCACTGTAACAAATTTCCACAAACTTGGTTGCTTAAAACAACAAAGCTATTCCCTCATAGTTCTGGAGGCCAAAAGTCTGAAATCAGTCTCACTGTGCCCAATTCAAACTGCTGGCAGTGATGTGCTCTCCAGAGTCTCTCTCCAGAGTCTCCAGGGGGTAATCCATTCCTTGCTCCTCCTGGTGGCTGCCAGCATTCCTTGGCTTGTGGTCGCATTGCTTCAATCTTTCAGGCCAGCATCTTCAAATCTCTCCCCACTCCAAATTCACATGCTCTTCTTCTCTCAATGTGTGTGTAAAATCTCCCTCTGTCTCTGTCTCTTCTAAAAACACTTGTGATTGCATTAAGGGCCTACCCAGATAATCCAGGATAATCTCCCCATCCTAAAATCCTTGACATTACCATACCTGGGAAGACCCTTTTTCCAAATAAGGTAATATTCACAGGGTCCAGGATTAGGATGTGCTATCTTTTTAAGAGGGAGGGCACTTTTTAGCCTACCACACCCATTCTACTCTGCTGTAATAGTTTTTAATGGCTTGTATACACTTTTTAAAAAATGCATATGGTTATTGCCAATAAATGAATTTAAGGACTCTATTATGGGAGATAAAAAGGCAAATATGAAGCTGGGGTGATATTAATAGTTTGTCAAATTATGTCAACATTCTAAAGACTCTGTACTATAATGCAACCCTCTCCTTTAGATCACTGATCTGTCCTTGAAAACCTCAAACATGGATGATAGTGACAGGTCTTAGGAAAATGTTATCTTGGCTCCATCCTTAGCCACTGTGAGTCAATTAGCAACAGCCATAGTAACACCTTGATAGCATTTATCATATAATACCAGGGCTCAAAACTCTTCAGGAGCATCCTAGGATGAATAGTGTAGTAAATGCCTCAGTGTGGGAAACACCCAGTGTGATGAGTGACCTCATCAACAGGCGCCACATACTCCCCTCTCTACTACCTTACCATCCCCTTTCCTTCAATGTGATCTGTTTTTCTCCCCATTGATATGTCTTTTTCCCTGTTTTTCTCATGGCCCTTTGCTTACTTTGGGATACCTTTTCATCGGTTCAATTCCATGATCTTCTATAAGCTTAGCTTAAAACTTACTTCATGTGAAAAGATGTTCAATATCACTAATCATTAGGGAAATGCAAATGAAAACCATAGTAAGATATCACTTCACTCTCATCAACATGGCAGCAATGAAAAAAACAAACAAACAAACAAACAAAAAATAAAACAAAAATAAAATAGAAGCCAGGCACAGTGGCTCACACCTGTAATCCCAACACTTTGGGAGGCCAAGGCGGGAAGATTGCTTGAAGTCAGAAGTTTAAAACCAGCATGGTCAACATAGCAAGACCCCATCTCTACAAAAATAAAAATTAAAATGTTAGCCAGGTATGGTGGTGTGTGCCTGTATTCCCAGCTACTTGAGAAGCCGAGGTGGGAGGATCATTTAAACCCAGGAGTTCAAGGCTACAATGAGCTGTGATTGCACCACTGCACTCCAGCCTGGGTGACAGAAAAATCCTGTCTTGGAGGCGGGGGCAGGAAACATTGGTAAGGATGTAAAGAAATGGAGAAATTGGAACCCTTGGGCACTGTCGGTGGGAATGTAAAATGGTATAGCTGATATAGAAAATATGTAGGTTCCTCAAAAAATAGAATTACCACATGATTCAGCAATTGCACTTCTGGGTATCCAAAATAATGAAAGCAGGGTCTCAAAGAGATATTTATACACCCATGTTTATAACTGCATTATTCACCATAGCCAAAAGGTAGAAGCAACCCAAATGTCCATCAACAGAAGAATAGATAAACCAATTATGGTGTATACACAAAATGGAATATTGTTCAGTCTTAAAAAGGAAGGAAATTTTGGCACATGTTCCAACATAGAAGAAACTTGAGGACATAATGCTAAGTTAAAAAACAGGCAATCACACACATACACACAAAAAGACAAACAGTGTATGATTCCACTTATATGAGGTACCTCGAGGAGTCAAATCCTTGGAGACAAAGCAGAACGGTGGATATCAGGGGCTAGAGGGAGGGGAGTTGCCATTTAATGGGTATGAGTTTTTTTGTTTTTTGTTTTTGTTTTTGTTTTTTGAGATGGAGTTTCACTCTTGTTGCCCAAGCTGGAGTGCAATGGCACAATCTCAGCCCACTGAAACTTCCACCTCCCGGGTTCCAATGATTCTCCTGCCTCAGCCTCCCAAGTAGCTGGGATTATAGACGCACGCCACCATGCTCAGCTAATTTTTTGTATTTTTAGTACAGAAGGGGTTTCACCATGTTAGCAAGGCTAGTCTCGAACTCCTGACCTCAGGTGGTCTGCCCACCTTGGCCTCCCAAAGTGCGGGGATTATAGGCGTGAGCCACCACAGCCAGCCCTGGAGTTTCATTTTTATGAGATGAATAAGTTCTGAAGATTGGTTGCCTAATAAAATGAGTATACTTAACACTACTGAACTGTACATTTAAATGGTTAAGATGGTAAATTTTGTTATGCATATTTTACTGCAACTTTTTAAAGTTAATACAAAGAATCTTTATTTCATTCAAAAAGCTTGTTTACCTAATTCAGATGGCTCTTCTTTGTTTATGCTGTTTCATTTTAATTGTAGAGAAGAAATTTGAGGTCAAGGAATTGATGCCTGCCTGAATAGGTTTTCCTCTTTCTCCCTAAGGAAAAAGATCAGGTTTTCTCCTTCATTGTTCTCCAAAGCACTCAATGTGGCCCTCTTCACATAGAAAATTGAAATGTCACAAAGTGATCAAGTCAAAATAAAATGTTATAATGTCTAAAGACAATAGGAGACTGAACAATGACAAAATTGGCCAGGAAAAAACAAATTCCTAGAGGAAGGCAAATGTTAAAAAATGATATAAAAACTAGGAACACTTTTTTTCCACTGCTTACCAATGATAAAAGAGCAAAAAGTACTTGATAAGTGGTTATGCCTATGGAAGTGCCTAATTTGTGTTTACAAAGGAAAATTTGGTTCGGTACTGATACCATTTAGCTCTTTGTCCCCACCCAAATCTCATTTCAAATGGTAATCCCCACATGTCAGGGAAGGATCTGGTGGGAGGTGACTGGATCATGGGGGCAGTTTCCCCTATGCTGTTCTCATGATAGTGAGTTCTTACAAGATCTGATGGTTTAAAAGTGGCACTTCCTCCTTTGCTCTCTCTCTCCTGCCACCCATGTAAGACATGCCTTGCCTCCCCTTTGCCTACCACCAAGATTTTAAGTTTCCTGAGGCCTCCCCAGCCACATGGAACTGCAAGTCAATTAAACCTCTTTCCTTCATACATTACCCAGTCTCAGATCTATCTTTACAGCAGTGTGAGGATGGACTAATACAAATACTTAATGGTATAGTTGAGATCCGTTCTCAAATTTTGCATGCCTCAGAATCACCAGGAAGACTTGTTAAGGCACAGATGGCTCAACCTGACCCCTAGAGATTCTGATTCAGCAGCATTGGGCTGAGACCCAAGAATGTGAATTTCTAGTAAGTTCAAGTGATACTGATCCCATTGGTTCGGGGACCACAGCTTGAGATCACTAGTTTGGATCTGTATTTTCTTGATGAGGACACCAACAAACATGAAACTGGAAATGTCAGTTCAGACTGGGCTCCATGCAAACTCAGAGGAAGACCCTTTGCATCTCACTAGGCTCTTTCCTCCATCTACATTTTTTCCTTTGGCAAAGTTCGGAATTTTAAAAGCAGCATATATACTTAGCAGTTGCAGTTTCAAGTAAATCAGAGATGGTTTTATTCAAATAAGGTACAATCCTTCACTTTTAAAGGAAACTCAAAACAGGACTTCAGCTAGATTTAATTGCAATGAGATGCATTTAAGTGAGAAAGGATTGCAGCACCTCTCCCAGGATTAAAGGGAGTTCAGGACAGCAGCACCTCTACCAGAAATTAAAATCAGATACCTTGATACCCAGCAACTGGTCATTTTCCACTTTGATGGCTCCTAAGTCAGAAATCATGCACTTAATGATACCTTTCTTAAAATTACCATCATGTCGGCTGGGCGCGGTGGCTCACGCCTGTAACCCCAGCACTTTGGGAGGCCGAGACAGGCAGATCACGAGGTCAGGAGATCGAGACCATCCTGGCTAACATGGTGAAACCCTGTCTCTACTAAAAATACAAAAAAATTAGCTGGGTGTGGTGGCGGGCGCCTGTAGTCCCAGCTACTCAGGAGGCTGAGGCAGGAGAATGGCATGAACCCAGGAACTGGAGCTTGCAGTGAGCCAAGATCGCGCCACTGCACTCCAGCCTGGGCAACAGAGTGAGACTCCTTCTCAAAAAAAAAAAAAAAAAAATTACCGTCATGTCTAAAATAAGGCTGGTTGTGACAGCAATAAAACAGAATAATACTATATTTAAAAATCAGGAACAAAACTAACTTTGAAAGAAACTACTCTCTTCAGCATGAGAAAATAATTCAATTCATAGGTTAAGGGGTACATGAAGTCACAAAATATGGTGCATACATTCTTATAGAATATACAGTGAGTTCATGGACACCATCATCTATTGAAATCTGTATAGGTATACCTCTACACACACAGCATGACTTAACAGTACAGTACTGTATGTATCAGCAAAATTCCAGTTCATATTATCTTAGCTAGAGACACAAGACTGAGTAGTTTATGGTTACATTAGACTCTTGAGATGTGTCCACCTTTTAGTCACCATTTTCTACGATTACAATGAGTACAAGTGTATATACAAGTTCCTACAGAATTGAAAATAAAATGTATGCCTTCTATTAAAACTCAAGTGAGAAATACACCCGAAACCGACTACATTAATCTTTTAATGGAAGATTTCACTTTTGGGAAACTCTTTGCCAAAAATATTAAGTCTGAAGTTTATTTCCTAGAGTAGTTCATATATGTAAAAGCAAACAAAATTTACAATGTATCTTACTGTTGCAAGGATTCAGTTAGAATGAATCAAGTCATGTGCCACCAAGCTTCCCATTTACACACAGCAACTCTCACACCATAACCCACCAAGTCCGTAATAGAACAGGTGCTACTCATTCACCAGCATTATAATGAGTTTCTACTGAATTCTTATTAACGGAAGGGAACACCATTCATGATGTCTATGCTATTTTCTGCATAGGGATAGCAAAGAACAAAACCCAACTGTTCTAGCAGTCCCGTTCAGGAGGCTGAGTCACAATGACAAAACCACTTAAAACTTACAAACAAGGGGCTGGGCACAGTGGCTCACACTTGTAATCCAAGCACTTTGGGAGGCTGAGGCAGGCAGATCACCTGAGGTCAAGAGTTTGAGATCAGCCAAAACAATGAAACCCTGACTCTACTAAAAATTTTTTTTAAAAAATTAGCCAGGTATGGTGGTACGCGCCTGTAATCCCAGCTACTCAGGAGGCTGAGGCAGGAGAATCGCTTGAACCCAGGAGGCAGAGGTTGCAGTGAGCTGAGATCGTGCCACTGCACTCCAGCCTGGGCAACAGAGTGAGACTCTGTCTCAAAAAACAAAAAACAAAACAAAACAAAACACTTACAAACAAGGATGTGAAATACCAAGAGACTGAATGGTTGACATAGGGATTTGGCTAACAAGAATGACACATACTTGCTCTAGAGCATACAAAAATTGCCTAATAACAGCTTCCCAATAAAGGAAAAGAATGACTAAATAGACCAGTGAACACCAAAAGAATGCCTAGAAACAGATCCCACATTTATGAAAACTTGATAAAAGGGCAGGTTCTACAGGCCAGTAGAGAAAGGATGGAGTATTTAATAAATGGTGCTAGGTTAACTGATTGTCCATGTTGGGGGAAAATGAATTTGGATTCCTACCTTGTACCATACACAGGCACCACCCCCAAGATGATTAAAGATTTTACCACGTGAAATAGTTTGGATCTGTGTCCCCGCCCAAATCTCATGTTGAATTGTAATCCCTGACGCTGGAGGTGGGCCTGGGGGGAGATGATTGGATCATGGATGTGGATTGCTCATTAATGGTTTAGCACCATCCTCTTGGTGCTGTACTTGTGAGATTGAGTCAATTTTTTGAGATCTGGTTGTTTAAAAGTGTATGGCATCTCCCCACCCTCTCTCTCCCACTCCTGCTTTTCCCTTGCAACATGCCTGTTCCCCCTTCACCTTCCACCATGATTATAAGTTTCTTGAGGCCTCCCCAGAAGGGTAGCAGGTGCCAGCATCCATGCTTCCTATACAGCCTCCAGAACCATGAGGCAATTAAACCTCTTTTCTTTACAAATTGTCCAATCTCAGGTATTTCTTTACAGCAACGCAAGAATGGCCTAATATACCAGGAAAGGCACAACTTTAAAATATTCAGAATTTAAAACATTTCATAAAATATGGGAGACTATTTTTATGAGTTCAGTGTAGGGAAGGATTTTTTTTTTAAACAAGATACTAAAAATCCAAACCAGAAAGTGAAAGACTGATACATAAGAATTTATTAAAATTAATAACTGTTCTTGATCAAAAGACATCATAAAGAGCATGAAAAGGCAAGCAACAGAATGGAAAAAAACATCTGCACACACATAACTAGCAGAGTTAATATTCAGAATATATAAGAACATTCTACAAAATGGTAAGAAAAAGACAAATGAGTTGGTAGAAAAATGGGTAGAAGACATAAACAGGCCCTTTTCAGAAGAGAAAACAAATGGCTAATATTCATATGAAAAGATTTTCAACCTCACTAGTATTCAAGGAAATATAACCACAGTGAGATAAAATTTTAAATCACCAGACAGACAAAAATTCAGGATTCTGATGTTTCCAGGGCTGGCAAGGACATGGAACAATGACAACTGTTATGTAGCGCTAGTAGGGATGTAAACTGGTGCTACCATTTTAGAAAATAATTTGGTATTATCAAGCAAAGTTGAAAATGTGCATGCCCTACAACCCAGAACTTCTCATGTGAGACACATGCCCTGAAGAAACACTCACACATATGCAGGAATATTCCTTGTGACAATGTTGGGAATAGCAAAAAGTAGAAGCAACACCACCATCCATCAGCAGGGGACTGGATAAATAAACTGGGCTACATTCATTCAATGAAATACTTTCTAACAATGAAAATAATGAAGTTAGCAATATGCAACAGTATGGATGAATCTTGGAAATATAAATTTCCATGAAAAAAGCAAGTTGGAAGACAGTGCCTAAAATAGGATACCATATAAAGTTTCAAGATAAGCAAAATTAAAGGAGGCTTTCAGGAACACATATATATCATCCCTATATATAACATGGTCGTACAATGTGTATGTGTGTGTGCTTGTGTGTGTTAAGGGGCAATATCATAAGAAAAAAGAATTCAGGATGCTAGTTACTTCTGGCTAGGAAGAAAAGATGAGTCCCAAGGGAATTTTTAATAAGCTTCACTTCATTTAGATAGAAAAGGGTTTTTAAAAAATCAAACGTGGTTTTTATAAACCTAATTGCACATATATAAAACCAGAGGTGGTGGAAGACAGCCCTGGGGCCACACAAGGGGAACTTTTCTTGGCTGAGCTGATACCAGCATGAGAAGTCTAGCCTGTCTTCACACTATCCTGATAAATCCATGCACGAGCCCCAGGGATGCACCCTTTGCAGTCCATGACTGAGAGAGAAGTCAAAGCTCTGGAATATGGTTACACTCTGGAATGGTGTCCAGGTAAGAGAGGGAGCTAGGGTCCCTCACTCCCACCCAAGAGTCTCATCATTCTTATCGCTATTGAAATCAAACTTTCAGTCACTGCTGGCTACTCAGAATGTCAAACGCAGCAGGCATCAATGGTTGGAGGAGCTGGAGAGGGAGAGAGAAATACCGGAATACGTACATAGAGATGCTGTGATGGTTACAAGTGAGCAAAGGGGAGAGAGATTAGGACAGCCAACCATGATTAAATGTTATGTTTTCATTCTACTATCCAACCCTTGTCTCTGGCCACAGAGTCATTTTATACCATTCTTGTCCTTTGTTTTTAGTTGAATCATCTCTCAAACTAGACACCATGTCAAATAGATTTTAGCTCCTTTCACATTGATGCCTATTTTCTTTGGAAAATACTTGAATTGCACTTCAATGTCAACTCTTTAATAGAAATGGACATTTCTGGGATGATGCTGGAGATGCAGAAATGAATCAGACATGGTTCCTGCCCTCAAGTTACTTACTAGGTTAGCAAAGAATGGCAGACAAGTACCAGCGACCAAAGTATTGAATACGGTACCCTAGAAATACACGTGGGGCTGGGGAGGAGTACTAAGGAGAGCACGTCGGGTCTGTATATGAAATATGAGTAGAGAAAGAAGAAAACAGCAATAAAAAGAAGCAAATTCTAAAAGTCAAAAATATAAGCCACTAATGTGGAATACCCTGACATTAGGGATCCCTAAAAATTTCCTGTACCTTTGCTAGGATTTATTCTGTGGAAATGTTAGCTACATTACGTACACTTCCGGATCCTAATACCAACAAACATTTGGTGGATTAAACTTGAGTGATCATCTTCTATCTCTATTAAATGAATGGATCTAATGAAATCAACAGTTTGTGTCTTTATACATCAGACACTACACTAAGTGTATAAAAGCAAACAAGTCATGGTCCCTGCTCTTAGAGAGTTCACAGTAATACACCCAGCATTTTAAGAAAAAGTATACCATACAATGGGGTAAAAACGTATTTATAAGAACTACATTGCCTCTACTAGACTAAAGAGGGCACACAGATGACTCAATTATTTAAAATAATGCCTTCTAATTCATGACTAACTCAAGGGGAAGGAGAAACGTGTACACACACACCACCCACACTCTCGTTTCAAATCTCTATATGACATGGCAAACCATCTACCAATTATTACTTATATTTGAACCTGCTTTCAAATGATTAGGTTCCAATATATTTCACTGAATATATACTTTTAAATGGTAGGTCCCCAAACATATCTTATTTTGAGCTCTATTTTTAATGTTACAGAAGCAGCAGGGGGCAATCTAACTTAGGAAACCTGCTGTGAAAGTGATGAGGAATAAGCAAGCCTGCATCCTAGAGCTGCTCGGGGGGAAGAAAAAATCTCCACTTTGCTGAATACAAAATATGGTGTAGAGGGAAAGCTGAAATATACATTGGAGAGAACACATCCAAGGCAGTTAAAAAAACAGAAGGTGAAGGGTCCACTCTGGGATAAAACACGATGGAACCAAATGAAATGAATATAAAGTAAAATAAAATTTTAAAAAACCTCATGCAGGCTAACAGAAATCTATGAAGGCATACAGACATACTGGGATTTTTGTTTTAACTTTGCCTGCGGGCACTTCTGAGCCCAAATAACTGCAGATCTGGGAATAACAGGTGTTTATTGATTTCTTTGTGATTTTTCTCTTTTTTATTTCTTTCCCTTTTTTTTTTTTTTTTTTTTCCTGTGGTACTGGAACAGAAAGACATATGTATTCCATATGTAACACTTTAGAAAATGAAAGGCAAGAGAAACATTGAACAGATGTATGGAGTAGGGACCCACTTTCCCCAGTGCGGCTTAATGTCAATATACCAACTGCTTTCCTTATATTATCCTAAAAAGAAAAGGTACCCAAATTTCCCCACAAAAATATTAACTGACAAGAAGCTTGCATGTTAGCGTGGACATCAGTTCTAATCAGAAAGTAGCAACCTTATCTTTCTCAGTTTAATTCTTCTTTCTAAAAGGCTTACATGAAATACCATGGAATCCTTAAAGGGCCATCACTAGTTTGGTTTTACAAGCATTTGAAGCTTAAAAGAGAAAGATCAACAGGCCTCCAAAAACATCCATTTTTTAAAATCTTTGTTAAGTTGAGCTACAAAATCATACATCAAGGTTGATTTAGTCTGATATGTACCAAAAAGTTCAAAAGATAAGAAGCTCTCTCTCTAGATGATAAATTATCAACCATAATCTAGTCTTTTTAAAATGTATCTGCAGGCTGCAGCCTTCCATCTATCAAATCAAGATGAGTCCCTCTTACAGTTCAAGTATCTGGTAATGTTTAGGGGACAAGTCAACATACCCAAACAAAACACATCTATTTGTATTTTCCCCGAAAATTTAAGGAAAAGCTTTTAATCTCTCTGGGCACTGGGTTTAATTTTAAGAGCAAGGCAAATTATCTGTTTTTATTTTCCTCCAGTTTGGGGAAAAACTTTATAATCTCTCTGGTTACTGGGTTTAATTTTAACAGCAAGGCAAATTACATCCCATGAGAGAACAAAAGCTACTGAAACTAAAAAAGAAAGGAGAAATTGGAAGTTTAATGCTGATATTTTGCAAAAGATGAAGAGCTTTGAAATAGAGGAGGGAAGTGGGGAATGAGCAGGAGATGGTGTTTTCTGAACCCAGTTTGGGAGACAAATGGAAATCAGTGTAGAGGAGCTAGTCACAAAGTGAAGAGGCAGGTGGGGGTAAGCACAGACAAGCAGCTCACAGGAAAAAAGGAGGGCAGAGTGCCAGGGGTCCCATGGAGTCAGCAGGAAGCCCCGTGCTTCCAAAGATGAAACAAACTTCTCTAGAGGGAAAAAAAATTTTTTTTGTTTAAATATTCCTACATATGTCAAATGGTGAACTTAGGCAGCAAATAAACCGCAGGGAAGACTAATGACAGACGGTGCTAAACAGCAGTGGAAGAGTACAGTGGCCTGTGAGGAAGAATTCATTGTTCAGGAATTACAGTTTCATAAGGACCCAGATTTTTTTTTTTGTCTCCAAAGGCTATGGCAGCTGCAGTCTGTAGATGTGATTTAAAAAAAAAAAAAAAACTCTGAGCAGAAGGTACATTCCCTTATGGCATGACCGTATTTTCTATAGCAATAATCTTCTGTCCACAAAAGGAACAAGAGAATAAGAGAAGACCACAGGAGACAGATACAATTTCATTCAAGGGGAAAAGCGAGGGCTGTACAACCAGATTACACAAAGGCGTGTGCTGGGGCTCTTGTTTATTATGATTTTAAATGTTGGTAGAGGGTTTATACCCACCAGCTTGTGTTTTGGAATTGGTGGAAGATGCTAGAATCTTCGAGGAGCAAAAGAAAAGAAATTGATTTAAACACACGCACATGCATTCACAATCCTAATCTGGCTGCAGTTTCTTTAAAAAAAAAAAAAAAAAAGCAAAAAGCTTCCTTCAAATTGTTCAGGACCACTCCAATTTCCTGTGTAGACCCAAACATTTGCATGTTTTTTCTGTGTCTCCTAAATTACCCAAGTTACTTAATACATGCACAGTAAGAAACATTTTTAAATGAGTCAGTCTTTATTGAATTATGATTTCCAGCAAACTCTAATAACAAAATTCAAATTGCTCTTGCAGATGAGAATTTTTAGAGTGCTGGGACATAACCGAGATTTTAAGAGAATTCAAAGAGCCACCCACCAAGTGTGTGTAGTAACTGAATACTGACTGATGAAATACTTTAAATAGTTAATTAGATTTGCCAAGAAAAAAAAATCAATCATTAAGAGTCCACACTCTAGGAGATACAGATGATAAAGAACTTGTTGGTACACCCAGGGTGTAGTCAAAAGTAAAGCTTAACAAAATAAAGTTTTCAGATTTCCATCGCACTGTCTGCAGTCAGCACAATGCAATTAGCAACACATCAGAAGGAGGGAAAAGCGACTTTTGCCCCATGATTTCTTTTTTCTAAGGAATTTCTTCAGCCTGCTTAAAAGGCATTTTGCAAGCAAGGAATAACAGAGACACTCAGATTCTATCAGGGGTTGCATCGCCTATGAACACCTGCAAACTGAATTTGCTCTGTTTTGCTAACCATTTATTTTGTCTTTACTGGGTTTTCAAAGGGAAATGTGATAACCCCACTGTTCTTTAGATGCTCAACAGGATGTTTAATCTAATAAAGCTATTGCAACAAAATGGATTAAAGCAACATGGCACATTTGTAATTTGGGATCTGTGAAAGAATTTTAACATTCGGGTGCTGTGAGCTCAATCTTAAAAATGTTATTGGTAGATGAAAGCCGAGCATCTAAGTAACGTCTGCTTTTCTTCTTTAAGCATCTTCATATTGCTACTGCTTACATGAAGCCAGGACAAGAACGGCTCCTGGGATACCATTCCCTGTGTCTTTGCATCATTAAAAAAATAAAAAAATAAAAACACTTGAAGTCCTAGAATTATCATCTGGCAGAAACATCTAAGAGTAGGAAGAACACAGAAATGAAATGAGAAAAGGAATTTGAATGTAAATATTATGAGGGTATCTTACCCTCATATTGAAAGTTGTCACCCAAAAAAGGTGATAAAATTTACTTACAAATTTTTAAAAATCAGTATTTCCCAAATATGTTTTGCACTGGATGTGTCCCTCTGGCTATGAAATGTATATTACTCATCCCACATCTGACCTCGATTGTTTAATGTGTTGGAATTTTTATATTGTTGAGAAGGAAATGGTGATAGCTTTCACTCTTCTTTGTACCACTTATTTCAGAAATGACCAGCTAACATCAAGCAAATCTACCTAGTACAGGGTAGAGACCAGTGATAGGCAACAGGAATATAACACGAGTGTAATGGTAATTTTAGGGGTCAACTTGACTGGATTAAGGAATACCTGCAGAATTAGTAAAGCCTAGGCCAGGCACAGTGGCTCACACCTGTAAACCCAGCACTTTGAGAGGCCCGAGGTAGGAGGATCACTTGAGGCCAGGAGTCAAAGCCAGAAAGTCATGACCAGCATGGACAACAACAACTGGCTAAAAAATTAGCCAGACGTGGTGGTACACATCTGTAGTCCCAGCTACTCAGGAGGCTGAGGTGGGTGGATTATTTGAGGCCAGGAGTTCAAGTCTGCAGCAAGCTATGATCATGCCACTGCACTCCAGCCTGGGCAACAGAGCAAGACCCTGTCTCAAAAAAGAAAAAAAAAAAAAGAACCAGTAAGAAAGTACCTTGGAATGTGCCTGCGAGAGTGTTTCCGGAGGAGACTGGTGTGTGAGTCTGAGCTAAGTGAAGAAGACCCACTCTCCATGTGGTCAGGCACCATGCAATCTGCTAGGGGCCCAGATAGAACAAAAACAGAGGAAAGGCAAACTGGTCTTTCTCTCTCCTGGACCTGGGATGCACTCTTCTCCTCCTGCCATTGAACCTCAGAACTCCCAGCTCTCCACCCTTTAGAGTCTGGGACTTAAACCCCAGCCCCCTGGGTTCTCAGGCATTTGGACTTGGACTGAGCCATGCTCCTGGCATCGTAGGGTTTCCAGCTTGCACGCAGCCTAATGGTGGGCCTTCTCAGCCTCCATAAATAAATCGCCTCTCATAGATACAATATATCCTGTTGACTCTGTTTCTTTGGAGAATCTTAATACAGTGAGTCAAGTATTAATTTTAAATTTTCTAGTAGCCACATTCAAAAAGTTTGAAAAGTGAAATTTAACTCAATATTCTAAAATATCTTAACACAATTGACATGAACATATTAGATTTGTATACACTATTTTGCACTAAGTCTTTGAGATTAGGTATATATTTGAGACTAACAGCCTATCTCAGTTACAACTAGTAACATTTCAAGTGCTCAAATAGCCAACATGTGACATAGTGGCTACCATACTAAATAGCAGAGCTCTAGATATATAAAAGGGACTGTAAAGGGAAGGAAGTGAAGCAGGCACGGAATGATGTGCTAACTGGGCAGGAACAGCAGAAGACAAGTGCCCAGATCCCCTTCATGTCTCCCTCCTTTCTGTCCCCATCTCCTCCTATGGGGGTTTTCCAAAGCCCCAGGCTTCACCCACTGCCCTTGTCTCTTTAGACGTTTTCTCTTGGGTGAGCTGAATCATTCATTCACTTATTCATTCAATAAACCTTTCCTGGGTGCCTACGATGTGCCAAGTACCCTGCTAGGTGCTGAGGTTTTAAGGACAAATAAGATAAATACACATCAATGCACACTCGGGGTATGCGTTGTGCTACAGTGGAGGATGCTAACGGGCATGTGTTCAGGCATAGGAGTATGGGGCAGGGGCAAGGAGAGGGGAGGAAGGTGGCTTACAGCTCAAATGTTATCTCCTAGAAGGATTTTTCCTGACTCTTCAATATAGAGCAAAGGTCCTTACCCCCTCCCTAGGCATCCACTATTGCATCACCTTCTTTCATTTTCTTTAGAGCACGTATACCTCGGCTCACTGCAAGTTCCGCCTCCCAGGTTCACGCGATTCTCCTGCCTCAGCCTCCTGAGTAGCTGGGACTACAGGTGAGTGCCCCACCATGCCCGGCTAATTTTTGTATTTTTAGTAGAGACAGGGTTTCACCATGCTGGTTAGGCTGGTCTCGAACCCCTCACCTCATGATCCACTCACCTCAGCCTCCCAAAGTGCTGGGATTACAGGCGTGAGCCACCGCGCCCTGCCAACAAAACCAGTCTTTAGCACGCTGTAATGTGACGGAATGTGGCACTCTTGCTTCTGCCTTAAGAGTTCTTTGGAACGAGGCTAGGTAGACACCGTCCTAGCTTGCATTCCCCTGAAATCAAGCCCTGAGCCACCAAAGACTTGAGCACAGGTAGTTTATTCAAGGGATGATCCAGGAGATACAATTGCAGGAATGGGGGAAAATGAGACAGGAAAGACAGAAAAGCCCAAAAAGCTATGTTCACAAGAACTACTGCCGTGGACGACTGCAACTCAGTTCCACTGGGGACCCTGTGAGCTGCCGTGTCGATCAGAAGTGCTCCTGCAAGGGATGGGAAGGAAGGTGGGAGCACTCATCCGCTGACTTCCGTCTCTCAGTCGCTGAGGTCACTCCTGGGAAAGTTAAATCACCAGCTTCCGGGCAGCCCTGCATGGAGCTGGAGAAAGCTCACAGGCAGAAAAGCAGAGACACACAGAACTGGACACTGTCACTGTGCACAGGAACCAGCCACGGTAGCCACAAATGACTCAGCTGCCAGTCAAGGGGACACAGGGCACGGTGTCAGCTGCATTTGCCACGTCGTTCATTCATCTTCCTGAACCATCACAGCCAGGCCAAAGGCCCTTAAATCTGGTTTCTACTAGGGGTCCTATCAGCATCTCCTGATGGACTTGGGATTGATGTTACTTACACCCTTCTATCTCAAAGACCTGTTCTTCAAATGGGAGATGATGTTGACTTTTACCATAAGGTGCAAGGAGGCAGAGAGATGTGACTGAGCTCTTATGTTTGATGGGGCTCAGGTCAGGGGTCACAAATGCAAATGCCTTCAATGGCTTTGGCTTTATGAGTATCATAAACAGGGATAAAGGCACAGTGAGAGTGATCCTGATGGCTCCAAGGGCAGGGTAAGAGGAGCCACAAAAGTGGCAAGGTGGGGAGCGTTGAGGGAGGGTGGGTGGGGGTCTTGCCAAAGGCGCACAGTTCTGGAGCTGCCACTTAACTCCTGCCAATTCCAGTCATTCAACCGACACCGAGTGTCTAGCAACACACCACAAACCAGGCTAAATATTCATCATACAGCTATTCACGATCCCAACCCTGGGGAATGAGAAGCAAAATTGTATGATAAACGCTCAAGAAGGAAGTCCTTCACCAAGCCTGAAGTCTATTCTTAAAAATCTATTTTATAGTGGAACTGACATGTAAAACACCTTATAGAAGTTTACATATGGAAAAATAAGGTCAGAGAACAAAAGTACCAAGTTAACCTATGAGCACCCTTATAAATATTTCTTATCACTTCTAACTTACTAATAACTAAGTCCCCCAAAAATGTTTAACTTGCAGATCACAGATGGGTCAAACTTTAAACTCAGATAGTTCAACCATAAAGCCTACACTCCTCATGCAAAATCAATGAAACGTGATTAAAATGCAACAAAGATAGAACATTAAATGAACCGAGTATGAACTATATTTCATGTAGCAAAAATATATAATAGAGGTTACCATATTGTTAATTTCTGGTACAGAACAAACCACCTCAGAACTTAGTGACTTACTACAAACATTTATTATTTCTCATGACTCTGATCTGGGCTGTGATCTGGCCACAGCTAAATGAGATGAGATGGCTTCACTCATGTCTGTAGCCTCAGCTGGATGGCCTAGATGGTTGGCATCTCATTCTCCAAGAGGGTGGCTGGGCTTGGTCACATGGGGACAGAAGGGTTCCCAGCAACTAGACGTGTTAATCCTAATCACAAGTAATTTTCCAGCCTCTGAATCATCTGTATTATCCCAAAAGCAAGGCACATAGTCAAGACTAGAGTCAGTACAGAAATAGAGCTGGGGAGGCAAGAACAAATTGGGAGTAATCTACCATATAATTCTCTTTTGAGTTCTATGAAATACTTGCCAATTCATTTTGCTTTGCAGCAGACGCATGAACTTTATTCCATGTCAGTCATTCATCCAAATATTCAATCCCTTCCCAATTTTATAACTCAGAATAAATTCTTTCCAGGTCCCACAGAGTAATCAAGTTACAGAATGACTGCACTAAGAAGGTGATGAGGAAGAGAAATAGGAAGAAGAAGGGGAAGAAGATGAGGAAGCAGAGAAGGAGCTACCGCTGCTGCTACTACTGCAGGTAACATTTATGTAACCTACTCAGCATGGTGTGTATTTCTGAACCTCCCCACAACCCTCAGGAATTGTCCTCCCCGGCTGATTCTGTGCCCTCCTCCCACAGCACCAGGGATGCGGCGTTAAGACACAGGGTACACCCTCCTCAGCTTCCCTTATGTCTTCTGAGTTATACTGTTCACACTTCCTACTCCCAAGCCCCAGTTTCCACTCTTTCAAATACCAGTAACAAGAATGACTCACAGTTCATATACTGGAAATGCTCACGGTTGCTAGGAGTGATACAGAAGTATAACTCTTATACTAGAACTTTCCAAAGGGAAATGAGAAGGGATGTGTACACAGACTGCTTTAAGAGCAAGGTGGAAAAGCTGCTCAATGTGCCGGGGAAGGGAGGACAGGACTCTCGGGCAGGTTTCATGACCCGGGTGAAACAAGTCGCACCAGTGTGTGACTTTGGCCAGTGACGCCTTTCTGTGCTCCAGTTTTCTCACCTGAAAAGTAGAGATGATCAGTAATAGGAGGTAATACACTGAAAGCATTTGTCCCAGCCCCTGAAAACAGCAAGGTAGCTGACAAACACCAGGAACTACTACACTTCACTCTGAACTGCACATGGTTTCACATTTAAGTGCCTCCAATTGAAACATCCTTCAATACATACCAAAAGAAACTTGATGGTCAGACTAAAGGGTGAGCTGCCATCAATATCTTCCCAGGCTGTTTGTGCACCACGTTCATACACAGAACCCTCCGGCAAGGTCCCTAAGCCTAGGTAGCAACTTCTATCCAGCAGCTTCCCAGGCAGGGAAGGATCTCTCTTCCCTTTCCTTCCTCCTCTCTTCCCGTGGCAAAATCCTCTAATACATCCATTTTAAGAAAGCAAAAGCTAGGAAGGAAATCATTAGCGCACGCATGCACATGTGCGCGCGCACACACTTCTCTCTCTCTCTCTCTGTTTTCTGCCCGTACCTCCAACCTCCCAAGGCAAAGGAGAACAAAGAGGCCTGGTTACCATCCCTGCAAGAGTATAGGGAAAAGGTCTCAACTAACTATGAACTGAGTGCTTAGATCCCTCCAAAATTCATATATTGAAATTCTAATCCCCAATGTGATGGTATTTGCAGATAGGGGTCTTTGGGAGGTGATTAGGTCATGAGTGTGGGGCCCTAATGAATGGGATTAGTGCTCTTATAAGGAATCGTGACAGCATGCCTCCTTCCCTTCCCCTCTCTTCCCCTCCATCCATCCCCCCTCCACCGTGTGAGGAACAATGAAAAGACATCTGTCTGCAAACCAGGAAGTGAGCCCTCACCGGACACCAGATCTGTAAGCACCTTGATATTGGACTCCCCAGCCTTGAGAACTGTAAGAAATATGTGTTTACTGTTTAAGCCACCCACTCTATAATTTGTTACAGATGCTCTAGCTGACTAAAACAAAAAACAAAACAAAACAAAATCCAAATTGATTTCTCAAATGTTATTACTGCCCAGGACAAGCCAAGGAGTTTGGACGGCATCCCATGGATGACTGGGGATGATTGCAATGTTTATGCAGGGCATGAACCCATGCATGTTTGCTTTGAAAAACTATCATGTGTAGCAGTGGGTTGAGAAAGTCTAGAGCAGTGGTTCTCAAAATGGGATCCCCAGACCGCGACATCAGCATCACCTGGGAAACTTGTTAGAAGCAATTCTCAGGCTCTACCTCAGACCTGCTGAGTCAGAAACCATGAGTGGGACCCAGATGCTATTTAACAAGCTCTCCAGGTGATTCCGATGCGCTGAAGGCGGAGAACCCAGGGTGTAGAAGCAGGTAGGCCAGAGGGAGTTGTACAGTGCATCTCTGATTAAGACATCTTATCTCTGCTCCTGAAAGCCCATTGAAATGATACTAAAGAAATATTTAATTTTTTTTTTTCTTGAGATGGAGTCTTGCTCTGTTGCCCAGACTGGAGTGCCGTGGTGCAATCTTGGCTCACTGCAATCTCCACCTCCCGGGTTCAAGCAATTTTCCTGCCTCAGCCTCCTGAGTAGCTGGGACTACAGGCACATGCCACCATGCCCAGCTAATTTTTTGTATTTTTAGTAGAGATGGGGTTTCACTGTGTTAGCCAGGATGGTCCCTATCTCCTGACCTCGTGATCTGCCTGCCTCAGCCTCCCAAAGTGCTGGGATTACAGGCATGAGCCACTGCGCCTAGCCAATAAATATTTAAATATTTTAAGATACTGGTGAGAGCAAAGAAAACAAGTAGGGAGAACACACACAAAAATGAAAGATGTCATACAAGTGTGGAAGGTGGAAGGAAAATGGAACAGTGAATAGCACTGTAGGAGCTGAAACAAGGGTCTGCAGAAGCCAAGAGAGGGAAGTGAGATGAGCCATCCCTCAGCTCCCTGGAGAGGTGCAAGAATTGGTGATGAAGAGGTTCCTAAAGAGAAGTCATCTTTTAGCATCTGCCCAGTGTATGGAACTTGGGAAAGGAGAGAGATCACAAAAAACAAGCTTTAGAAAGCTTTGCTCAGGGTCTGTCTATGCAAAATCCTCTATCGTGACCTCTCCAGGAAACGTATCGTGAATAAAGCTACTGGAAATACAACATGTGAGATGGAAAACTGTGCAAACAGAAGAAAGTTTTTCTAGAAATGCTTGTTTCAAAATATACCTAAAACATGTTAATTTGTTTTTAATTCTTTTATCATAGACTGCATAATATTTATTTGAATTCAGTTTTGCTCAGGTGATAGATCATGTAGGTTTCCTGTTATATCCACTCCAATTACCTTGGGTTATGCCTAAGATCAGCAGTAAATAGGACTGAGGACCCAGCTGGGGAAGTCTCCAGTTTGCCTTAGGCTTAGGGGTACACAGATGATCATAGAACATATGAAAGACTTATATGGTGTCTTCTCCAGGGGTGGATTCAAGTTTTGTGAAGCCGAAAGCTTACAGAATTTGTTAAGAAAAAAGAATACAAAATTATGAATACAAACTGCCCCAGGCCCCTCAATGTAATTTGAATAAAAACATTTAAAGACATGCAAGACCTAAAATGATTTAGCTCCTGTTCACTGGTTCTCAGGAAGCTATTGGAAGTTATGCTCCAACACAAGAAAGGAAACCTAGATGGAGGGAGACACAGGATCTAGAAAACGGGATGACCCAGTGAGATATCACTTTATACCATCTAGAATGGCTAACATTAAAAAGTCAGATAATAACAAGTGCTGGTGAGGATGTGGAGAAATCAGAACCCTCCTACACAGCTGGTGGGAATGCAAAATGGAGCATGCTCTATGGGAAGCAGTCTTGCAGTTCTTCAAAAGATTAAACAGATTGCCATATGACATAGCAATTCCACTCCTTTGTGTATACCCGAGAAAACTGAAAATATAACTCTACACAAAAACTTGTACACAGATGTTCATAGCAGCATTATTCATAGTAGCCAAAATGTAGAAACAACCTCAACGTCCATCAACTGATGAACGGATAAACAAAATGTGGTATATCTACACAATGGAATATTATTCAGCCATAAAAAGGAATGAAGTGCTGATACATGCTACAACATGGATGAACCTCGAAAACATGATACTAAGTGAAAGAAGCCAGGCAAAATAGCACATATTATTATTCCATTTATATGCAATGTCCAGAATAGTCAAATCCATGCAGATAGAAAATAGGTGATTGTCAGGTGGCGGGGACATCACAGGGAGTGGAACGGAGCAGAGGAGTGATCACTAAAGAGTACACAGTTTCTTTTTGAGGTGATGAAAATGTTCTCAAATTGACTGTGGTAATGGTTGAATGTATCTGTGAACAAATTTTAAAAATTACTTAATTGTGCACTTTAAATGGGTGAATTACCATGGAATACTATGCAGTTATAAAAAGAATGAAATCATGTCCTTTACAGCAACATGGATGCAGTTGGAGGGCCATTATCCCAAGCAAATTAACGCAGGCACAGAAAACTCAATTCCCCATCTTCTCGCTTATAGGTGGGAGCTAAACATTGGGTACTCAGGGACATAAAGATAAGAACAATAGGAACGGGGGGCCTGTGGGGGAGGCAGGGGGAGGAAGAAGGTTTGCAAAGCTAACTATTGTGTACTATGCTCACTACCTGGGTGATGGGATCAGTCATACCCTACGCCTCAGCATCATATGATATATCCATGTAATAAACTCACATGTACCCCTAATAGTTGAAATTATAAAAAGAAGTTAAAAATGAGTGAATTATATGGTATGTGACTATGTCATAATAAAGCAGGAGGAGGGAATGGAGGATGGCAGGGAGAGAACGATGGAGACAAGGAAGCCAAGAGAAACAGAGTAGCAGGGGTGAGTGACACCAGGACACGAGAGAATGTAATTGACACGGCACATCCCTCCCTCCCTCCCTCCCTCTCTCCTTCCTTCTTTCCCTCCCTCCCACTGCTACTCTAACATTTGCAAAAGCATCTCAACACAGTCTCCCTGAAACATGTTACTCTGCACACCACCAAAATCCAAACCCCCTCCCCATGGCCCCGAGTCTAAGGAAATTCCTAAAAAGGTAGTGAACGCAAGTCCCTGAGCTCCCAGGCTGAGCATCTGGCCTAGAAAACAACTGGCTCAGGTAGGGCCAAGAGAAAGGCCAAGGCCAGGAGAACCACCTCCCTCCTAGCCCCCACTCCTTCCCCAGCCATCACCATCACAAAGCCACTAGACCTATTGACATGTTTGGCCATGTTCAGAGGAGTTTAGTAGCTCTGAAAGAAAGCTGGTGGAAAGATTTAGTGACACATTCCCCAGAAACAAGCACAAAACAACAACAAAACAGTTAATATCTCTAGGAAAAACAAAGTGTAGCCCCAGAAAGGAAATCCAATTGCTGAACATTGTATGGCTCAGTTGAGAACAATATTTATGTAGTTAATATAAGCATTAAGTCTTATTGTCACCAAAATTATGGCACCACTATATTTGGAGAAGAAAGAAATGAGTGGGTATCAGATGGGGAGGTGAATAGTTTAATAAGGCTAAAAACTCATCTTCCTGTTGCAAAATCAAGGATAATGTCTAAAAGTTGGCCAGAGAAAGTGGGGAGCAGTAGCGATGTATAACAATGATTGAGGAGAAAAATCCTGAACAAAATAGCTAAAAGAGTTGGAAACAGCTGCCTTCAAGAGGTTTAAATGGGGAACGCAGAACTACTTACAGCTGAACAAATTTATAATCCTAAAAACACAGAGTTAGGCTCTTAAAAAACTGTATTCATTATACTCTGGGAATCCAACTAGGAGCCATAACTGGTGGCTTTATTAGCATTTAGTTACAAAACAATAATTACAAGGCATCCTGTAATGGTCACACATGAAAACATCAGGGAGCAAAAACATTACCCAACTGTTTTCCCACACGTATCTCTCAGGAATTTGCTTTTCCAACTTTGTTGCTTATAGTGGCAACTTTGGAATGTTTAATCCAGAAATCACAGGACTACCAAAGTTAACACATTTTTCAGAGGCTACCTGCACACCTCTGAGTCTAAATAAGAATCCTGGATACGTCTGAAGTTTGTGCTAAGATTTCGCCACTGCAAACTTTCATTGCTTATCAGAGCATGAATCTCAGGAGGCTATTCCAATAAGAATAAAGAACTTGACAACTGCCTAAAAGATTAAATTTCACAATATTAATACTCAACACTCATTGCAAGTTTTAAAGAGAGCAAATATCCTTCACTGCAACTCACAGAAATTTCTCATCAAAAACAATGAATTTCTGTCAGTGTGCAGAACCATAAACCTTCATAATACTATCAACTCTTTAGGGTGATGCAGTATTTAATTTAAGAAACTTCTGTCCTAGAAGGATGGAAAAATTCTTAAACTCACCCTTCAAAGGTCTTTCTTTTCCCCTGGAAGACAAGGAGGTAACGCTCTTCTTCCTCTTCCTGGCTTTGAAATACCATACTTAAGTTCTCCTAGAGATAAGTGCTTGATACCTCTTCTCCAGTTTGCAACAATTACTAAAATATGTGGAATTAAACACAAGTGTGTTTCGTGACAGTAAATGCAAGCTGGAAATGGTACAGATGAAAGCAATAACTATCAGCAGTTAGTTCTTTTCCCCCTTTTGTGGGTGCAGAAAGAGAAACGACAAAGTCAGTCTTTTCATTCAGATTACCTCCAGCGAGTTTAGCCATCAAGAATTGGTGCCATTAAGTGAAATTCTCCTCGTTAACTTGAGTTAGTTACAGTTTGGAAATCATAAGACATATTACTCTCATCGAAAGCCATCAATGACCACTTAAGCATTAAATTGGAAAAAAAAATGGTTTGAGAAGGGTGTACTGTATCCATTCCCTCTAAATAGGTGCAAATCCTAATTCTTCAACTATTAAATAACAGTTGAAAACCAGATCCACGACAGGAGTTTCAGAGGTGCAAGTGAACACCAGGGAAAATACTGTGAACGGCAGCTTTTCTGACACCTATGTGCAATCAGAGAACGACTCTTTCAGACAAGAGGTGCTCCCACTTTCGTGTGTGTCAGGATCACTGTGGGCTTTTTAAAACACACGGGCCTGGGGCCCACCCCAGAGTTTCTGATTACTTAGTTCTAAGGCAGCTGGGTAATTGGCATGTCTAAGAGGTATCCCAGGTGATAGCGATGTTACTGATCCGGAGAAAAACACTTTTGAGAAACACAGCTTTAGATAAATATCTATTTTAGATACATAATCTTAATCCAGCTCTAATGAGCTTTCAAAGTAATTAAGTCATAGGAATGATTTGCTTTAAAATCTTTTATAAGACAATTCAGACAAATTTTCATGAGCATAAGGATGAGTATGGCTTAAAATCCTTATTTTCAAATGTCATTTTTTGTGAATCATTTTCAGAAAATGAGTCATTACTTAGTTATATATTTCTGCAAACACATGTATTCAAATATCAGAGATCAAAACCGGAAAACTATGTCATTCAGTAACTAATATCTAATTATAAATGGCATACTCATTATAATGAATACAGTGAATTTGGATTATGTCTGAGACTAGAAGTATAGCTGCTGGTACTTATGGCTTACTAAATGATCATCTTTTCTCTTCCATAATGAAAAAAACTGTTGTGATTATTCAAATATTGTACTTGTGGAATAATCACTGTAACTCTTGCAGCTTGCAAACTGTGACATTTACATCCTGAATTAGTATTCAAGGCAAGCCTTTAAAGAAGTAAATTAACTCTCTCCAACACCATGTCTGTCTTTAAAAAACTGCCTCCAGGCAAATTTTTGTGACTATTTACCATAATGTGGTGGGTAGTCGTGCTTCAGATATGAATAACTGAAAGTAGCAGAAATACATGAAACACCCCATCAACTCACCAGGCATTTTTCAATGAAAACAAGCCATTTTCCTAAACTAACTATGTTTTGAACTATGTCTATTTTCACTTATAAATAATTCCAGATTAAAACAAAGATGAAGAGTGAAATCCGCTTATAAGTAGAAAATGAACATTCTCATTAGTTAAGAGTTCAGCCCACCTGAACTAAATCTTTGCTGAGTCCTCTTCCTGTTCTTTACTCTTTCTCACTTTTTACCTGTCTCGGGTGTTTTCTAAAACCCCTACCTGACTTTTCCAGTCCATTTCATGACCTCTATTCAGAATGAAGCATCATCCCACTAATACTTTGGGATGTGGTCTCTTTCCATAAATGAATTTGGGAAATTTGACTATTTGGAGATTGATTATAAAAGAATGGGCCAGGTGCAGTGGCTCACGCCTGTAATCCCAGCACTTCGGGAGGCCAAGGCAGGTGGATCACCTGAGGTCATGAGTTCAAGACCAGCCTGGCCAACATAGCAAATCCCCCATCTCTACTAAAAATACAAAATTAGCTGGGTATGGTGGAGCATGCCTGTGATCCCAGCTACTCGAGAGGCTGAGGCTTGAACCTGGGAGGCAGAGGTTGCAGTGAGCTGAGATCGTGCCATTGCACTCCAGCCTGGGAGACAAGAACAAAACTCCGTCTCAAAAAAATAAAATAAAATAAAAGAATGATGGTACAACCAAAGAAAAGAAAATGATGAAAGATTTGCAGTTCTCATTTTGCTCTGACTTTGGATTTAGGAACCTCAGAGACCTGTATGTCCAAATACCACCTGGAGTAAAACTCACTAAATGAAAGAGGAAACTAAAGAGGAAAGTCGGGAAAGAGCTATGGCTCCACAGATGATTTTGACAGAATAAATATGCAATCCTGTGCCCTCACTTTTATATTAGGTTGGTGCAAAAGTAATTGCCATTGAAAGTCATGGCAAACACTGCAATTACTTTTGCACCAGCCTAATAACACTTAACCAGAGCGATGAATTTTTTACGTGTGTGTGCAGGAAACGCATGACCACGTGAGACACTTCCCCTCTAGCTTTTCTCTTTAGCTTTTCATCTGGTGATGTGCATATAAACACGCTCACTTCACTGCTTATTTACAGTTTCAACTGCCTTCTATCCGCTGACCTTTAGCCAGAATTTTATATAAATATATATATATATATCTTTTTTTTAGACAGGGTCTCGCTCTGTCACCCAAGCTGGAGTGCAGTGGTGTGGTCATATCTCACTGCAGCCTCGAACTCCTAGGCTCAAGGAATCCTCCTGCCTCAGCCTCCCAAAATGCTGGGATCACAGGCAGCCACCACGATCGGCTTGGATATTTTTAAATGAAGACACCATCCTTTTTTAAATTATGCATAGTTTTAACTGCTATGACTCCAGCATTTCTACTTCTGCCCAAAATGGAGTAGCAGTGACTGGATTTACTCTCCAGTCACTGGAACACAATATATGAAACAACAGTGTTTAAGGCATTGGGCATAAGACAATGAGGGACAGTGAGCCCTGACAAATGGGAAACAAACACAGTGAGTGCTCTGATTGCCCCAACTTAGTGCCTGGGGAGCATTTCCAGGCCACCGTACAGGAAGAGGGGGACCCAGGACAGGCCCAGTGACTCCCTGAGTTGAAGCCACAGTGCTGAGAGTCCAGGGAGACCAGGCATCTAGAATTCTCCGAGCAGAGACTAGAAAAAAGAGAATTGCCCAGAGAGAAAATTCTAGAGATCTCCAGAGCTCTTTCTGTCACGCTTTCAGCAGAAAATGGACCAGTACATGGTCTGAGGAGACTACCCAAGGCTGGAGAAAGAACCACCTGGAAGGATTAGACGGAACAGAACTCGCAGCTCACACAAGGCCAAGAACAGTGCTTGTTCCCACCACCCGAACTGGGAAACTTCATAATTCAAGAGGATGTGGGCAGAGTACTCAGAAGAGTCTTGCCTCAGTGGTGTGGGATAATTAGGCCTAGACTAAACACAACTCTGATCCTGCCTAACGAATCTTAAAAGCAAGACCCAAAATGATGGAGCAATTTTCAAGCAACTTAACTGTGTCCCAAAACAAACCCCAAGAATATTTATAAAAATACATAAATATCCAGCACCCAACAAAGCAAAATCCACAATGTCTGCATCCAATAGAAAATTACCAGGCAAGGAAGGAAGAAGGAAAACAGGACCCATAATGAAGATAAAGCCAATCAATTGAAACCAAGCCAGAACTAAAATCAGTAAGAAATCCTTTCTTTTTTTTTTTTTTTTTTTTTTTTTTTTTTTTTTGAGACAGGGTCTTACTCTATTACCCAGGCTGGAGTGCAGTGGTGTGCTCTCAGCTCACTGTAACCTCTGCCTCCCAGGTTCAAGCAATTCTCGTGCCTCAGCCTCCCTAGTAGCTGGGGTTACAGGTGTGCACCACCACACCTGGCTAATTTTTGTATTTTTAGTAGAGACTGGGTTTTGCCATGTTGGCCAGGCTGGTCTTGAACTCCTGGCCTCAGGTGATCCGCCCACCTCGGCCTCCCAAAGTGCTGGGATTACAGGCATGAGCCACCACACCCGGCCAAGAAATCCTGAAGCAAAACAGAACTGAAGCAAATGGAAGCAATAATCAATTCTATTTTGAATTTATACATCATTTTTATTTTATTTTGGTTTTTTTTTTTTTTTTTTTTTGAGACAGGGTCTCGGTCTGTCACCTAGGCTGGAGTGCAGTGGTGAGATCTTGGCTCACTGCAGCCTTGACCTGCTGGGCTCAAGTGATCCTTCCAAGTAGCTACAGGCCCATACTACCATGCCTGGCTAATTTTTGTATTTTTTGTAGGGAGGAGGTCTCACTACGTTGCCCAGGCTGGTCTCAAATTCCTGGACTCAAGTGATCTTCCCACCTCAGCCTCCCAAAGTGCTGGGATTACAGGCATGAGCCAAAGCACCCAGCAGAATTTATAAGTCATTTTAAAAAGACATAATCGTGAAAGAATATGTGAAGTTGTTTTTCTCGTATTTCATACTCAAAAAGGTAAAAAAAAAAAAAAAAAGTGAAGTATGAGAATAATATACCAAAGACAGTGCTTAAATCTCCTCTCCTGAACAGTTTTTAGAAAATTCCTATGTAGCAATGAGACAGATTTTGGCCTATGGTAAGGAAGAACATATTAGGGGGAACCATATGAAATTGCCATTTTATAGGTCAAAAGTGAATGCATGCTAGCAATATCATATATCTGCTGGCTTCCTGCAATCTCAAGTGTTCAAGTCAGGTGGTCTCTGGCCAAGGAGGATATGACAGAGTAAAGGAATTCATGCAACATTATGAGGAAAGTGGACCAAATCGCCTCTAATGCCCCTTCTCATCCTAAGGGTTTGTGTTTTTTTGGTTGATGTACACTTCCCTTTCAGGGTGAGTCAGAAGAGGGATTGCTTCCTTGACATGATGTATTTACCTCTTTCACACTTTTGCAAATGTATTCATTCCTCTCTGTGGCTGCAGAATACTTGAGGGCAGGTCATTTGGGTAGAAAGGGAGATGGTGACCCTGAAAGCTAGGCAATGTGTAGATGTGCAGCTTACAGAATGGAAAACTTCAAACTGGTTGCAGGAGCAAATCATTGTTTTGTCTAAATATTGGCTGAGACCAAATGCTTGTGTTTTACTCTGAATGTATTCAGCGATAGGATTTGAGTAAATATCTGCCTCTGTAATTTTAATATTTACAAGGTTATTATTATAACCCTGACCCTTGTCTTCCTAACAAGTGTGTTATGGGATTAGCTAATTGATCATGATGAAGTACTCTGAGTTCCTTGTAGAAAAATACTACATTAAATAGAGAACCAGTATCCCGCCTAAATGCCTTATCTCCATGTTAAGATTACTAACTTCCCACTTATGAAACTGATCTCTAAATACACCTAACAAGCTGTAGTTAGTAAATTCAAACACCATAAAATAAATGATTGATTTTTTTTAATTTAAATTGCGCTGTTGGGACTAATTTTGCCAATTTGAAGGTCATTCCTCAATAACCAAATCCTCATTTACACTGCTAACTGGCTCTTTAGTACATTTGCAAATAGAACATATTACATTCCTATCATCAAACAACTTTCCCATTAGCTACAGTAAATACTCTGCACTTTGGTCACCCATCAGTTCCCCATAGAGTTATGGGTTATAAGTTTAATCGTTTCATTTGCATATCCAGCTGAGGTAAATTAGAAAAAGTCGCCACACTCATTACACTTTATTGCATTGCAAACACAGATGTCTGTTTTTCCAGACCCGCTTAACCTTGACCTAAAGAAAAAGATTAGAGTAATACAGTGGGAAAATAGACACTGTGTGTTCACTTGGCTTCTCACATCTGAACTGCATTGAATTTCCTTGGAAATAAGAGAATTTTCATTTTTTAATTAACAGGGTAACCTTGAAAAAAATCATAATTATCAGATATTGCTTCCCTTAGTTATGAATTATCTGTTAAAAGATCTTCAGACATAATTTTCCTGGAAAAATAAACATAAGCAAACCATCTCTATAAAGAATAACTTCACTACATTGAAAAAAATTCCTTCACTAGGAAATGATAACACTCAGCCACCATCTAGCTTACTGTTAACGCTGGTGAATTCATCTTACCACAAAAGACCCCAAACCACAAAAGACCCCAAATGGCCAAAGCGTTTGGGGAAATGCTTTGGAAATGATAACACCCCACCACCAGCTAGCTTCGTGTTAACGCTGGTGAATTCATCTTACAAAGTTAGCTTAGTGTTAACACTGGTGAATTCATCTTACAAAATGACAGGCAAAAGGGCCAAGAAATAGATGGCCAAGGGCTCTCTGGAGTTTGTGACTTTCGCTCACTGGATACTATTGTTACCAGAAAGGGGTCCTGATCCAGACCCCAAGAGAGGGTTCTTGGATCTCGCACAAGAAAGAATTCAGGTCGAGTCCACAGAGTAAAGTGAAAGCAAATTTATTAAGAAAGTCAAGGAATAACTAATGGCTACTCCATAGACTGAGTGGGTCATTCCCAAAAGTAACAGAAGGAATGTGCCCACGCTACGTACGATGCTTGTTTATGTCATGGGGAAATGTGCTCTACTACAAGGGTTTGTGATAAAGGATTAATTTTCTTAATTACTATATTTTGCAAGAATCAATATTACTATCTTTAAAGCAAAATTAGAAATGCTCTTCTTCTCAAGATATCGGGATATCAGGACATTCCTGAGTCTGGGTCTGTTTAGTAAATGTTATCAATCTGTTCCCCCAACAGTAAACCCCTAGAGGGTAGAAATACCTAATCTGGGAACACAGCCAGGTAGTCCCAGCCCTCCCTCAAGATGGAGTCGCTCTGGTTCAAATGCATCTGACACTATCATCTGTCTCTCTCACTGTACTCTGATAACGGAATGAAAGACCCTCTTCCACCTCCCTGGTATTGTTCCAGGAAGGTTTCTCATGCACACCTGTGCAAGCACATGGTGCAAAGGGCACCAAAAGACTTTCTGTGTATGCAAAAGTGACAAAGCTTTAATTAGGGTCCATTATCCCAATTGCCGCATCTTCATACACAATGGAGAAAAGCCATTTCTACATGTAAATTTTGGGAGCTTTTGCTGTTCTTTTTACATTGACAGACACAATTGTATATTTTATCATGTACAACTTGATGTTTTCAAGTATACATACATTGTGGAATGACTAAATCTAGTTAACATATGCATGATCTCACATAGCTAGCGTTTTTGTGGTGAGAACACTTAACATCCACACTCTCAGCATTTTCCAAGAATTCAATGCATTGTTATTAATAACTATAGCCACCATGTTGTGCAATAGATCTCTTAAACCTATTTTTTCTACCTAGAATTTTGTATGATTTGACCAACATCTCACCAGCTCCTCTCCCAACCACCTCAGCCCCTGGTAACTGCCACTCTCTACTTGTATGAGACCAACTTTTTTAGATTGCACATAGGAGTGAGATCATGCATTTTTCTCTTTCTGTGCTTCACTTATTTTATATAACACAATGTCCTCCAGGTTCAACCATGTTGTTGCAAATGACAAGAGTTCCTTCTTTCTTATGGCTGAATAGTATTCTATTGTATGCATACCACATCATCTTTATCCATTCACCCACTGATGGACACTCAGGTTGATTCCATATCTTAGCTATTGTGAATAATGCCACAGTAAACATGGAAGTGCAGACATCTCTTCAATATACTGATTTTATTTCATTTGGATATGTACAGCCAATGGTGGGATTGCTGGATCACATGATAGTTCTATCTTTAATTTTTGTAGGAACTTCCATATTGTTTTCTATAATGGCTGTACTAATCTACATTCCCATCAACAGTGTGCAAAGGTTCCCTTTTCCCCACATCTTCACCAACATCTATTTTCTGGTTTTTTGATAATAGCCATTATAAGAGGTGTGAGGTGATATCCCATTGTGGTTTTAATTGGCATTTTCCTGATGATTAGTTATATTGAACACTTTTTAGACACCTGTTGGCCATTTGGATATCTTCTTTTGAGAAATGTCTATTCAAGCCCTCTGCCCATTTTTAATTGAGTTACTCATTTTGTTGCTATTCAGTTGTTTGAGTTCCTTATGTATTTTGAATATTATTTTCTTTGTTAGGCAGAAGCTTTGTAGTTTGATGTAATCCCACTTTCTATTTTTGCTTTTGGTGCCTGTGCTTTAGGGACCATATTCAAAAAGTCATTGCCCAGACTTTTCTTCTAGTAGTTTTACGGTTTTGAGTCTTACATTTAAGTCTTTAATCCATTTTTGTTGATTTTTGTATATGGTAAGAGACAAAGGGTCTAATTTCATTTTTCTGCATGTAGATAGGCAGTTTTCCCAACACTGCTTATTGAAGAGACTGTCCCTTGCCCATTGTTTGTTCTCGGCTCCTTTGTCAAAAATCAATTGGTTGCAAACATGTGGATTTACTCCTGTGTTCTCACTTCTGTTTCGTTGGTCTATGTGTCTGTTTTTATGCCAGTACCATTACCACTTTAGTTACTGTAACTTTGTAGTATATTTAAAATGAGGGGCTGGGTGCGGTGGCTCATGCCTGTAATCCCAGCACTTTGGGAGGCCATGGTGGGTAGATCACCTGAAGTCACGAGTTTGAGGCCAGCCTGGCCAACCTGGTGAAACCTTGTCTCTACTAATAGTACAACAATCAGCTGGGCATGGTGGTGGGCGCTTGTAATCCCAGCTACTCAAGAGGCTAAGGCAGAAGAATTGCTTGAACCCGGGAGGTGGAGGTTGCAGTGAGCCGAGATCACGCCATTGCACTCCAGCCTGGGCGACAGAGCACAACTCCATCTCAAAAAAAAAAAAAAAAAAAAAAAAAAAAAAAAAATATATATATATATATATATATATATATATATATATATATATATTAGGAGATATATATATATATATTAGGTAATGTGATACTTCCAGCTGTGTTCTTTTTGTTCAAAATTGCTTTGGCCATTTGGGGTCTTTTGTGGTTCCATATCAATTTTAGGATTGTTTTTCTATTTCTGTGAAGAATGTCATTGGTATTTTGATAGGAATTGTGTTAAATCTGTAGATTACTTTGGGTAGTGTGGACATTTTAACAATATTAACTCTTCCAATTCATGAACATGGGATATATTGCCATTTGTGTTTTCCTCTATTTCTTTCATCAGTGTTCTATACTTTTTATTGTAGAGATTTTTCACCTCCTTGGATGCTTTTTATTTCCTTCTCTTGCCTAATTGCTTTGGCTGGATATCCTGATCTTAAGAGAAAAAGCTTTCAACTTTTCTCCACTGAATATGATGTTAGCTATGGATTTGTCATGCATGGACTCTGTTTTGTTGAGGTATATTTCTATAAATTGTTAATAGCTATAATCAAAAATTCAATGTAAAATTAAACTTGAAGAAGTGCTTTAAAGCAAATATGAAAATCAGCAAAAGCAGTATGTATGTGATGTATGTATACATTGTATATATGTATATAACGTTGAAAGAAGTCCTTTTAGGGAGCATCTGAAACTCAATCAAAGCATACAAACAAACCATTTTCAAGTGCAACTATAGAACGCATGGAAAACACTTGGCTTCATGCTCAAGTTAAAACTGCATAAGAAGGTACACGAAGTACTTTTATGAGGTATACATATGCCCAAAGAGATGTGCCTTCAACATAAACAACGATAAGAGGAATCGCAAAAAGAAAAACCAGAAAGAGGAGATAACAAGTAAAGTATGCCAAAAAAATTTAGATCCAAAAACCAACTTAGGTAACATACGAGAAGTTTATGCCCAGAAAAAAATTTATATCGATGACCAAGAGAAGACCTCAATAAAAACATACAAAATTGTGTTTTATCTTTACAACTGAGGCATCTTTACAAGGAAGCTAATGAAGTTTAAGCTTCCAGGCCCCTCAATTGCACAGCCCTTTCTAAAGCCCTACAGGAGTCCTAGAAATCTGTTTTTGTAAAATTTTCAAATCAAGATATTTTTAGCCATCATTAGTTAAAGACACTGTCTCTTTTCATTCTGAATTCTCTGACATCCTTTCCTTTGTGTCAGATGGCATTGCAGCAACTGCAGGCATTTCTGATGTTGGGTAAAGGGGAACTTGAGTTGGGAATACACTGATTTGGGGATTATGGGGGATACTGATGGATTTTGTCATCCTTCCAAGTGTTGTTAAAATACTGCTCACCTTCCCAGAGGAATGCCTGGGAATACTCCTTACTTCCCACTTTGCCCATTCATCCAGCTACCTGAAACAAAGGAGTAGGCTCAGGAGCTATATAATGATCTGCCAAAGTTTGAAAAGTATCAAGCCAGAAACCAGTCTGTAAAAAAGTCTTCCCATCATCAGATATATATAATCGCAAGCAGCGGATTTAGTGCTCATCAATGCGTAGTCAAAATAGAGCTCTCTCCTGTCAGAAATGGTACAATGTGTACAATTTGAAACATACCATACATTTATTTTGTCTTTTTTAAATAGGAATGTTTAAACATGCCATTTTTACTACAGTTTTGAAAGATGTCTTCTAAGGTTTTAATAAAATAAAAGATAGATTGTAGGCTTCTGATTTGGATGTATATAAAGAGTTTCCTCTTTTAGACTCTTTAAATTTATTAAAGAACTGAAAGTTCAGATAAAAAAATGAAATATATAACAAAAGAGATAAAAATGAGAGTTGAAACCAGTAGATACTACTCTGACATCAAGAAAAGTATTGTATCAAAAATGTTCAAATCATGCCAAAAGCAATAATTCATTCAAGGAGGAGATCAATGTTGACTAGTAATAACAAATACACTCTTCATATGTGTGATCATTAAGTTAATAAAGAGGAGGAACTCAAACATGCTGAGAAAAGCTTCAATTTCTTCCTGATTTGACAGGAAGTTCTGACATCAATAAAGATAATCTAAAACTAAAAACGTACAAGGACATTGACAACAAGGAATGTTGTCAATTCAAAGACCAACACTAATCACTGCCTGAGAAAATGTGAAATGCCTTGAAATTTCGAAGCCTATATAAAAAAGAAACTTGGCTGGGCGTGGTGGCTCACGCCTGTAATCCCAGCACTTTGGGAGGCCAAGGCGGGTGGATCACGAGGTCAGGAGATTGAGGCTATCCTGGCTAACATGGTGAAACCCCATCTCTACTAAAAATACAAAAAAATAGCTCAGCATGGTGGTAGGCACCTGCAGTCCCAGCTGCTCGGGAGGCTGAGGCAGGAGAATCACTTGAACCTGGGAGGCGGAGGTTGCAGTGAGCCGGAATCGCGCCACTGCACTCCAGCCTAGGCCACAGAGCGACACTCCATCTTAAAAAAAAAAAGAAACTTGATAATTTCCCCAAATTTGAATCCTTAACAATTTCAAAACTTTACATGGCATTTCCGATAACAAATTAGAATGCTAAAACAAATTTTCTTAAACATCAATAATAAATTAAAATGTTGATCAAGCATGCTTTAAAAAACTGAATGATATTTCTGTCCTCTCAATAGAAAGAATACTAAAAAATCATCTCAAGACTATGCAACCAAAAACTGTAAGGGAAATAGTACCACGGAGGTGTGTCAGGCAGTTAATCACTAAAAATGGAATATTATTTTCCTGAATCATATGATATTTGTTGTATTTGTCTGCCTTTTAGGCTTTGTAATTTTGTTTGCTTCTTTCAATCTAATGATTTACTTCTATATTTAATTTTGTATTCATCGTTTTGTATTCTGTTAAAGAGGGCTCTAAAACCTGCATAAACTTTAGGCTCTACAAATTCTGGATTTTCTCCTGCCTCAAAGCACTCAATTTCATATATGCACAAGAGGATACAATAAGATGTTCACAATGAAACGAAGTCCGCGTGATGAGGTTCAGAATCCTGATGGGGCAAAAAAATTGAAGATCAAAGGGAAATTTCCTCAGGATAATGAAAACTGGCCTTGTATCTCAGTGGATCTCTTCCACAAAGAAACAACAGCAACCCTTGCCTTTGCCTAGAAACAGAAAGTCATTCGTGGTCTCTTGACTGTTGTGATGTTGATTCTCAACTAAATATTACCAAACGCCATGTCAGAAGGACAATGCACAGGCCACCTAGTTCAACTTATGATTCCCTCTCTGAAGCACACCTTTTTTCTTTAATAAAGAATTACTACTGCAGGCCAGGTGTGGTGGCTCATGCCTGTAACGGGAGGCTAAGGCTGGTGGATCACTTGAGTTCAGGAGTTCGAGACCAGCCTGGTCGACATGGTGAAACCCCGTCTCTACTAAAAATACAAAAATTTGCCGGGTATGGTGGTGCGGGCCTGTAATTTCAGCCACTTGGGAGGCTGAGGCAGGAGAATCACTTGAAGCTGGGAGGCAGAGGTTGCAGCGAGCTGAGATCACGCCACCGTATTCCAGCCTGGGCGACAGAGCAAGACTCCATCTCAAAAAACAAAGAAATAAGAATTATTACTGCAGAAGAAAGAAAAGAATATACAGGAGAGTCAAGCTATGCAGCTTCATTTCCCTAGTTTTGTATTTTTCTTTGGGCTAATGAAAACATGGAATTTGCACCAGTCTACCCTTCAGTGCTTCCAAAAACATTATTAGGTCCACCATTGTTTATCAGGCCTGTAAAATTTCCTAAGTTGGCACTCACATTTGCTGTGTTATGCCTCCTTCCTTTTGTCTTCCAGAACTTCCTATCTGGTTTCCTGTATGACAGAACTTAGAGGATACTAACATGTTCTAATAGAAAATTCATTCTGAATTCTTCTGTGAATATAAAATATTTGGAGGATTTAAAAGAAAGAGAACATAAACTTTACTTTGGGCCAGCAGGTTATCATTTGGCCTGCCTTGAAGTTGTTTAATCCTCAGGAATGAGCCAGTCTGTATCCTCAGAGCAGCAAAAGACTCTCAAACGTGAGACAATGGACACTTATGAGTCCCTTGTTGATCTATTTCTGCAAGACATTTGGTTAGTTTTTCCAGCAAAGAATCTTAAAACCACACTACTGAAAAGGACACAAAGAGGTCATCTTCTGAGCCAGACTGCCAAAAAGGACTGCACTTAAAATAATGAAAACAGATAGTCATTGCTCCTGTTCTTAAAATCTTTATGGGACAGATGCTTCCCTCAAAGACAACTCTGCGTTGGTTTTAGGAGCACTGCGGCTGAATGAAGATCTATAACGCTGGAAAACTGATCAATACCCCATCAACTGCAACAACAATGTCAAGATGTCTACATCCAAAGAAACAACTGGCTCAGAGGATTAAGGTAATATATATAACTCCCAATAGGAAGGTTTCGCCTCCCTGAAATGTTTTATCAAATTAAGCATCAGAAACCATAGTGGCTTACATGGAGAAGGAATTCTTCATCTAACCCTTTAACTAATATCCGTATTAATTATCCATCCAATGGAACTCTGAGTTACACAGATCAAGTTTTACTGGACTAAAAAGAAATCCCCAAAACAAAGATTCCTTTCGATTGATTTGCCTGATACACTGTAAAGTGTCTTTTGTTGTTGTTGTTGTTTTTGAGACGGAGTCTTGCTCTGTCTCCCAGGCTGGAATGCAGTGGCATGACCTCGGCTCACTGCAACCTCTGTCTCCCAGGTTCAAGCAATTATTCTGCCTCAGCCTCCCCAGTAGCTGGGACTACAGGCACAAGCCACCACGCCCAGCTAATTTTTGTATTTTTTGGTAGAGATAGGGTTTCACCACGTTGGCCAGGCCGGTCTTGAACTCCTGACCCCAGGTGATCCACTCACCTCAGCCACCCAAAGTGCTGGAATTACAGGCGTGAGCCACTACACGGGACTAGTAAAGCTTTTTTTAATTGTTTAAAAAGTGCAGAATAATACATACCACACAGAGTACAGATTGAGAGATTGGCCGCAAATCTTCACCCTTCCTTGCACCTGTACCCTTAACACGGCCTCGCAATGGTAAGAAATGTCAATGGCAATAATGAAGTTGATGTTCGTCTCAACACAAGATTTAGAACAGTGCACTTTCTGCCTTCACAACTCTAAGATAATTGTGTACATTATAACATACTTAGTTAATGGCTATCATTCAGTGTTTCTCAGGGTTTTCCAAAGAAATAGATCCAATAGGAATATGTTTTATATCTATAGATATCTCTATTTATATCTATATTGATAGACACAGATGTCTCTATCTATATATCCATATACATAAGATATATTTCTCTCTTTCTCTGTCTCTCTCTCTCGATATATACATATCTATCTCTAGAAACAGAGAGAAAGGGAGAGAGAGATGTTAAGGATTACACACGTAACTGTGGAGGCTGACAAATCTAAAGTCTGTAGGGTAAGCCAACAAGCTAAAGACCCAAAGAGGCTGATATTTTAGCTCCAGTCTGAATGTAGTCTGGAGGCAGAATTTCCTCTTCTCAGGGGAGTTGAGTCTTTTCTCTATTAAAGCCTTCAACTAATTGGATGAGACCCACCCACACTACAGGAGATAATCAGCTTTACTCAGAGGCTGCTGATTTAAATGCTAATCTCAGCTTTAAAATACCTTCACAGACACAACTAGAATAATGGTTTGTCAAATATCTGGGTTCCATGGCCTAGCCGAGTCGACACATAAAATTAACCATCCTATATCCGTTCATCCTTCTGTTTATTCAACCAGCTTTCATATGATGCTACCATGCACAAAGCAGCATGCCACATGCCACTGACACACAAATGTTAGCTGCTATACTCATGTTTGTTGGTGTGTGTGTGAATGTGATGGAATCTTGCTCTGTCACCCAGGCTGAAGTGCAGTGGCGTGATCTCAGCTCACTGTAACCTCTCCCTCCCAGGTTCAAGCGATTCTCCTGCCTCAGCCTCCCAAGTAGCTGGGATTACAGGCATGCGCCAACACACCCAGCTAATTTTTGTATTTTTGGTAGAGACAGAGTTTCCCCGTGTTGCCCTGGCTGGTCTGGAACTTCTGACCTCAGGTGATCCACCCGCCTCAGCCTCCCAAAGTGCTGGGATTACAGGCATAAGCCACCATGCCCACCCTATACTCATGTTTTTATTTACAACACATAATGATAGGTGCTATGCAGGTTTGCATACTTTTCTGACCAACAATTTTGTACATTTCTTAGAACTCTTATTGTCTTTACATAGCTTTCCACAACATCAATTAGCTAATATGCTTAAGGAGCACATTAGGAGCAGCTGACACTGCTGTTAAGCTATGAATAAGAAAAATACCCTCGTGTGTATTTCAAATCACAAACAACTCTAATTTAAATATAAGTCCATGAAATAGAAATACTTTATCTTTTTGTTACCATTGTGCAAACCAAGGTCTAATTTTTAAGGTAATTTATTTACAGTTCTTTTGAAAATAATGCCTTGAAGTAATAATTATTTTTTTTCATGATCAACAGAGCTTTGGAAAGCACCAAATGGTATGAGCAGAAAGGGGAAGAAATAGAATAGATTATTTTTAAAAAGAGCAACAGTGACTTAAATGGTCACCTAAACCATGGGCTGTTCTCTTTGTTATTCTTTTTTTTCTCAGGTTAGGAGGTTATTAACCTGTATCCTGGAGTGAATGTGTGCCAATTACATCAATGGGACAGAGCAAGGAAATGCACATTAAAAATTAAACCTATTATGACAACATTTGAGTCCTAACAGCATTTATAATTTAAAAAAAATGTTTTCCGGCCGCGCGCAGTGGCTCACGTCTGTAATCTCAGCACTTTGGGAGGCCAAGGCGGGCGGATCACAAGGTCAGGAGATGGAGACCATCCTGGCTAACAGGTGAAACCCCATCTCTACTAAAAATACAAAAAATTAGCCGGGCGTGGTGCAGAATGGCGTGAACCCAGGAGGCGGAGCTTGCAGTGAGCCGAGATCATGCCGCTGTACTCCAGCCTGGGTGACAGAGTGAGACTCCATCTCAAAAACAAAAAAAAAATGTTTTCTCTATTTTAATTTTTGATACACACTGATGGGGGAAAGCAGCTGAATATATAAGCCAATGTCAACGAAAACAAAAGATGCTGGTTTTATATGTTTTTCCCTATTCTTATTTCATACACAGCATTATAACAAATCCATTTTGATATCATCCAAGTGGACACACTCCTTTAGCCAGTAGTTTTTTTAAATGGGAAATTATTGCCCATTCTGTTTCAAACTAGAATGGCATATCTAAAGGCCATGCTTGGGTTTTTGTAAACATTTAATCACTAAAAAGCAAAGCAGTACTTTGCACTGATCTTCACCGGTGATATAACTTAATAGTTATATTTTGATAGTGAACCATTTCACTATTAAAAATATTTTCTCCTGGATAATTAATTGGTCCTATGGTCCATGAAAGTCTTGTAGATTCCTGGATTTACCACTCACTAGCTATGTAAACTTGGACACAGACATCAATCTTTCTCGGCCTCAATTTCCTCATCTGTAAAATCGAGAAACTATGAAGTTGTTATAAGTAACAAATGAGTTAAGATTTGTAAAGGATTTAGGACAGTGCCTAGCACATAATAAGCACTATGGAAGTGTTAGCTATTGCAAGTTTCATCAAACAGATTAAGACCGAAACTAATTACCCACAATGGTAACATGCATTGGAAAGGACCATGTATTGACTATCTTGCCTTCCTTTTTTCACTTCCCCAATGCCCTGCCCTGCCCTGCCCTCCCACTCAGGGCTACTGCCCTTGCTGCTCCTTCTGCCTGGATGTTCTTCCCCAGATCTTCACACAGTTGCTATTTCTCATCAAATTAAATAGCACAGTGGCTCAGGCCTGTAATCCCAGCACACTGGCAGGCCGAAGTGGGCGGATCACCTGAGGTCAGGAGTTCGAGACCAGCCTGGCCAACATGGAGAAGCCCCCCCATCTCTACTAAAAATACAAAAATTAGCCAGGTGTGGTGGTGTGCGAATGTAATCCCAGCTAGTCAGGGGGTTGAGGCAGGAGAATCACTTGAACCCAGAAGGCAGAGGCTGCAGTAAGCCAAGATCATGCCACTGCACTTCAGCCTGGGCAAGAGAGTGAGGCTCTGTCTCAAAAAAAAAAAAACCCAAAAAAATTAAATGCCACTTCCTCAAAGACACCTTCCCTAAACACTCTAGCAAAAGCAGCTTCAACCTGCCTACACACACACACAGACACACACACACACACACAACCTTATCTTTTAAAGACACACACACACACACACACACACACCCTTATCTTTTTTTATAGCACTTTTTAGGACTGTCTTAGTTCATTCAGGCTGCTGTAACAATAATCCCATAAACTGAGTGGCTTATAAGCAACAGAAATGTGTTCCTCACAGTAAAGTCCTGGCAGATTCAATGTCTGGTGAGGGTCTGTTCCTCATAGATGGTGCCTTCTGTGTGTCTTACATGGAAGAAGGGGTACAGCAGCTCTCTGGGGCCTCTTTTATAAGGGCACTAATCCTATTCATAGGGGCTCTGCCTTGATGATCTAATTAACCCCCAAAGGTGCCACCTCTTTTTTTTTTGAGATGGAGTTTCACTCTTGTTGCCCAGGCTGGAGTGCAATGGCGTGATCTCGGCTCACCACAACCTCTGCCTCCCGGATTCAAGCAATTCTCCTGCCTCAGCCTCCGGAGTAGCTGGGATTACAGGCATGTGCCACCACGCCCAGCTATTTTTGTATTTTTAGTAGAAATGTGGTTTCTCCATGTTGGTCAGGCTGGTCTCAAACTCCCGACCTCAGGTGATCCACCTGCCTCAGCCTCCCAAAGTGCTAGGATTACAGGCGTGAGCCACGGCACCCGGCCCTCTTTTTTTTTTAAATAGTGATGGGGTGCTGCTCCATCAACCCAGGATGGAGTGCAATGCTGCCATCATGGTTTGCTGCAGCCTCCAACTCCTGGGCTTAAGCCATCCTCCCAGCTCAGCCTCCCTAATAGCTGGGACTACAGCCACATGCCACCATGCCCAGCTCATTTTTTAAATTTTTGTAGAGACAAGGTCTCGCTATGCTGCCCAGGCTGATCTCAAATTCCCAAACTCAAGCAATCCTCCCACCTCAACCTCTCAAAGTGCTAGAATTATAGGCAGGAGCCACCATGCCCAGCCAAGCCTCACCTCATAATACTATCATATGTGGGATTTGGTTTAAACGTATGAATTTTGGGGAGACGCAACCATTCAGACCATAGCAAGGACCTAAATCACGTTAATTATTTGTTCTATTGCCTCTTTGTAGTTTATAATAGAATGTTATAAGTTCCAACTTGTTCACCAGTAAACAGTAAACAGATTGGCACCTAATACTCAATATGTGTTAAAAAAAAAAAAAAAAAAATTGTGAAGGCCGAGTGCAGTGGCTCACACCTGTAATCTCAGCACTTTGGGAGGCCGAGGTGGGTGGATCACTTGAGGTCAAGAGTTCGAGACCAGCCTGGCCAACAAGGTGAAACCCCATCTCTACTAAAAATGCAAAAATTATCTGGGTATGGTGGTGGGTGCCTGTAATCCTAGCTACTTGGGAGGCTGAGGCAGGAGAATTGCTTGAACCCTTGGGGCAGAGGTTGCAGTGAGCCAAGATCGCACCACTGCACTCCAGCCTGGATGACACAGCAAGACCCTCTCTATATATATATTTGTAGACTGAATATGTGCCTGATATTAAACAGTTATGACACATGGGATTATAATTTCCCTGAGCTGGTTTGGATACATATATGCCTGCAGCATTAACCATAAGTCTCTTTTTCTTAGAGAGCAAGAGACTAGATACTGTATGCCATTTATAATTAACAAGGAAAAATGCTAAGAGGAATATATGAAATGTGATCAAATTAATGAACCTGATTTTCCCATGTGGATTGTTACATTAGCCTCATTATTTTGTGGTCATGCATTACACAGGGGACTTAACCCTATTAGGTTATCAGTGGTAGAAAAGAAAATACAAGATGCCAGCTGGACCCACGACAGTGAAAGGCAACTCCTCTTACTTTTGCTGCCATATCCAAAAGTCTGTGTTCCCATTCCAGGAGACCAGAATATGCTGCTCCAAAACCTGACTGTAGGAGACGAGAATAGGTCACCCTAAAACATGCCTCTTCGGAACAGGATTATTTTGAGAAACAGCAGCCACAGGAGAAGCACTATGTGTTAGCTACTGTAATTTTCATCATACAAGATTAAGACCAAAACTAATTACCCACAATGGTAACATGCATTGGAAAGGACCATGTAGAAGTTACGCGTTTGTAAGGTAATTTACATCCATAAAGAAAATTTTTATTTGTAAGGCTGTCTCCCTCTCAGTACCAGGAAGAAAGGGATGACCTTAAATCACTAGAGACTCATATCAATGGAGAAGACCTGGACTTAAATCTACAGAACAAACCTTACCCTGTTCACTGTTTTTCCTGACACCTCCCCATAACTGGCATTCCTCATTCTTTCTTTGCTCTTTCTTTGTTTCAGCAGACAATGGTATTTAAGCCTGAATTCAAAGCCAGCACTTGGAGATTTCTCTGGGTATCTGCCATGTACGCATGAGACATACATGTTATGAAACTTCTGGGGGTTTTTGTTCTCATTTATCTGCCTGTTATGGGAAACAGTACTTTGGAGGCTTAGAAAATGACACCCCAAAGCATGACCCTTTAGTGTGCTGGGTGCTTTGAACGGAAGGAGATTGAATGGCATCAGAAGCAGACTCAGAAACAAAGTCACTCTCTGACCTTCTCTTGCCCTCCTGTCTCCCAACCCGCTGCCTTCCCCAAAGTGGATCTTACAAACCAGAATTCCTCTTCCCCAAAGCAGATCCTAGAAATTAGAAACCTTCTCCAGAGTAAGCCATACAACCTAGAAAGGTCATTCTCTGACTTCCTCCTTCTCCCTTGAAGACCCTCATTTTGTTAGAGGCATTTGAACCAGAGCAACTCCATCTTGAGTGGGGGCTGGGTAAAATGAGGTTGAGACCTACTGGGCTGCATTCCCAGATGGTTAAGGTATTCTAAGTCACAGGATGAGACAGGAGGTCGGCACAAGGTACAGGTCCTAAAGACCTTGATGATAAAACAGGCTGCAGTAAAGAGCCCAGCTAAAACCCACCAAAACCAAGATGGCGACGAGGGTGACCTCTGGTCATCCTCACTGCTACACTCCCACCAGCGCCATGACAGTTTACAAATGCCATGGCAACGTCAGGAAGTTACCCTATATGGTCTAAAAAGGGAAGGCATGAATAATCCACTCCTTGCTTAGCATATCATCAAGAAATAACCATAAAAATGGGCAACCAGCAGCCTTTGGGGCTGCTCTGTCTATGGAGTAGCCATTCTTTTATTTATTTACTTTCTTTTTTTATTTTTATTATTATTATTTTTTTCTTTGAGATGGAGTCTCGCTCTTTCACCCAGGCTGGAGTGCAATGGCATGATCTCGGCTCACTGCAAGCTCCGCCTCCCGTGTTCAAGCCATTCTCCTGCCTCAGCCTCCCGAGTAGCTGGAACTACAGGTACCCGCCACCACGCCTGGCTAATTTTTTGTATGTTTTAGTAGAGACGGGTTTTCACTGTGTTAGTCAGGATGGTCTCGATCTCCTGACCTCGTGATCCACCTGCCTCGGCCTCCCAAAGTGCTGGGATTCAAGCGTGAGCCACTGCACTCGGTTTATTTATTTACTTTCTTAATAAACTTGCTTTCACTTTACTCAATGGACTCACCCTTAATTGTTTCTTGTGCGAGATCCAAGAACCCCCTCTTGGGGTCTGGATCAGGACCCCTTTCTGGTAACAATTCCAGAGGGTCCTGCCCCACACCTGAAAGGAAGGAACGCTACCCAGAGAGGTCAAGAAGAATCCGAATAGACAGGCCTCGCTGGGTTTCCCCAGCAGAATCTATCACAATATTAGATCATTCTCTTTTGACGCAATCACATTTCTACATGGCTGTCAATTCTTCACTGTGCCTATGCATAAAAACAGTCTTCTCTGGGTGTTTGGATCTTCATTTCTCAAGGCTCCTGTGTCCTGTAAGACTTTGATTAAATAAGTGTGTTATGTGTTTATCTTGTTAACCTGTCTTTTGTTATAGGAGTGCTGGCCGTAACCCTTACGATGGATGAGAAAAGGCATCACACCTTTTTGCCCTCCCATTCCCAATTAAGAACTATAAAGTGTAAAGAGAAAATTAATTTTCCTCTGCTACATTACACAATGTTAGCTACAATAAAAAGCACAAGCCAATTATTCAACGATGGAAAGATATTAGCTATCAAGCCGTGAAAAAACATGGAGTACCCTTAATGCATATTGCTAAGTGAAAATGAAGCCATCCTCAGAGGGTTAACAAGAATTCTGAACAGAAATACGTTATAATTAAGCATTAATTAGGCTGCACTTTGCTCCACTCCCTTGTAACCAAAAGTCACGTAGTACCACATACGGACCACATACATCCCCATTGTTCTTATAGATAAGATCTCTGATGTTAGAATTACAAGGCTTTTGTTTAAGAATTGCTTAACATGTTTCCAGATTCCGAATTCCAGTGGCCCCCTTATAGAGAAACTGAATCAGCATGAGAATAGTTTCTTCATCTCCCTGTCCCATGAGATAATGGACTCTTTCCAATCAATGATCGCCACATTCCAGCCCACTCCAAAAACCTTAAAAACCTTAGCCCCAGACTCCTCTGGGAGACGATTCTGAGATTTCCTCCTGTCTCCTCATTCGGCGGCCCTCCAATGAAACCTCTTTCTCTGCAGCAACCTGGTGTTTCGGCGACTTGACTTGTCACGTACATCACACAATGAATCTATCATGTTTACAAAAGAAGCCAATCTGAAAAGGCAACATACTGTATGATTCCAACTATATGACATTCTGGAAAAGGCAAAACTATGGTGACAGTATAAGATCAGTGGTTAGCGGCGAGAAAGGAATGAATAGATGGAGCGCAGGGCAGTGAAACTATTCTGTGTGATGCTGTAACGGTAGATACATGTCATGCACTTGCTGAAAACCACAGAATATACAATACCGGGAGTGAACCTTACTGTAAACTATGGACTTGAGTTAATTAACGGTGGATCAACATTGCCTCATCAATTGCAATAAATGTACCATACTAACGCAAGATGTTAACAGGGGAAACTAGACGGGGGGAAGGAAAGGAGGGGCATATGGAAACTCTGTACTTTCCCCTCAATTTTTTGTAAGCCTAAAACAGCTCCAAAAAATAAGGCCTATTTAATTTAAAAAAAAAATTGTAAAAGCTGTCTTTCTTTTCATGTAATTTGAGAGGATATTTCCTCAACTCAATGCATTAAGACACCCAGAGTCTTAAGCATTTTTTGGTTAATTACAACCTGTTTTCTCATCACATTTCTAGATTCTATGTAACAGATGGTGAAAATGTCTATTCTGAAGGCCTAAAAAGTATTCCTGTTCAAGAATAGTGGCTATTACCCAGCATCCCCTGCGCAGGAGTTGGAATACCCAGGGCTGGGTGCAGGAAGAGGGGGCCACACATGAGGCACCAGGGTGGAACACAGAAAGCAAATCCTCAGGGTGCTAACAAGAATAGAGGGAACTCCCAGAGGAATTAAAAGTAACCCCTACCAGGAACCTAGGGAAATAATCTATACAGAGAAAGAAACGACTTGTTTGAAATTCATTCACACTGGCAGGGTCAATAGAAAAATTTCAATGTAAATAACAGGAGGCCTTAAATGCATGTTTGCTGAATGCTGAAGGATCTGGGGCAGAAACTATGCAGAGGTTTCTGCAGTGGCCAAATGTTGCCTCTTATCACAGCAGAACAGCCATTAAAAGGGAAGCCCTGGGAACACAGTGAATGTAGATGGAGCCAATCAGATACCCCTGTGAGAGATTTTTAAAGATTTTTTTGTTTTTATTCTCCTTGTAGTCCATTTGGATCGGATAAGATTTGGGAGACTGATAATTTGCCATTATCTTAACCTCAAAGTTGAAGCAACATTTAAAGGGATTAATGTGGCTTTTCTCCCTCCCAGGGGCATTTTCACCTTCACACCACCGACTCTTCATTTGTCATCAGCAAGCTGGGGACAATTACTCAGAAGACAATGGCAGCAGCGCCACAGCACCGTGGGTTTAATGCTATTTCTGTCTCTATAAAATCTTCAATAATTTGTTTACGACTTCCAAAATTCAACAATAGTGTGCAAATGCAATTCTACTTATGTTAATGTGTACCTCCTTTTCTCATATCAGATTCTGAATAAAAATTAGGCAAGTACTCTGTTTTGAAAATATATAAGATGTGAACTTCCTGGGGGGCTGGGGGGACCTCCAAATGCACTATCCTATCAACCACATTTTTTTTAACTTAATAACTTAAGTGAACTGTTAGTGAAATTACAACCTGCTTGTGACACAGTAAATTTACAACAAAATTCATTCCATAAATTATTCAATTCCAAGACTGCAGTCAAGGAGAGAAATATCACCAGGAGCAGGTGATTAGCATGTGAAAGGAAAAACCCATCTCCCTGCAGAAACAATCACTGTCAAAGCTTCCTATTGGAGTTTTGTAAAAATTACTGTTAAGAACACACATTTAAGGCTTTGTAGTTCCTATAAAAGGGCTAAGTATTTGATTTACATTAGATTCGTTTGTTCTTTCTTCAACTGTCTCTTTCTCCTACAAACCATAACTGCCTCAATAAATGCTTGCTCAATCAAGTGTGCATTAAAACAAAAGAATTTAACTTCAATAAAAGTGATGAATCAGGGCCAGAAGTTAACTTTTCCCTCCTCTGTGTTTCTTGCTATAAAGTAGGCAAAGCAGAAATTTACATCTGATGCTCCACAGGGGAATATAATTGGTTTCTATTGTGTAGTTGGTCATAGCTGTAGATTCTTGAAGAAATCATTTGAAGCCAAAGTTGCAGGACAAAAGGGTTTCAACAAAACTACATTTGTGAACATGGTCTATAGACAAACTAGCTCTGTAAATGGGACTGTCTGCTTTCTACCAACTTCACACACAGAAGACAGTGCTGATGGGCAAACAAAAGAGTTACAGGATGTTTTCTGAAATCTGGCACACAAATCCCCAACTGGTGGTATTTTCAGCCAGGTACTAGGAACATTTTTTCCTTCCATGGTGGTAGGTCTTCAATAAAACAAAGTAGATACTATCACCTTTTTTCTTAATTAAAACAGCAATGTGGCTGTTCTCACATATTAATACATACACTGTTACATTTCAGCAAATGCCTTAGAATCTGCTTTTCTTTAGTGGTTGCTCTTTTTCTTATAGGCATGTGTGATAGGCAGAACAATAGAAAATGTCCATGCCCTATTTCCCAGAACCTGTGAAGATGTTACAATGCACGGCACAGAGGAATTAAGGTAGCAGATGGAATTAAGGTTGCTAATCAGCTGACCTTAAAATAAGGAGATAATCCTGGATTATCCAGGTGGGTGCAGTGTAATTACAAGGGTCTCTAAATGTGGAAAAGGGAGGCAGGAGAGTGGGTATCAAAGGGACATGATGTGAGAAAGACTTAACCAGTATAGAGACAGAAAGGTGCAATACTTTTTCATATCCATTATAAAGGTCAGAGCCAACATTCTTATAACAATAAACAGGTTAACAAGAGAAATGCTATATTCATCTGTTCTCGTGCTGCTAATGAAGACATACCCAAGACTGGGTAATTAAAAAGGAAAGAGGTTTAATTGACTCACGGTTCAGCATGGCTGGGGAAGCCTCAGGAAACTTACAATCATGGTGGAAGGGGAAGCAAACATGTCCTTCTTCACATGGCAGCAGCAAGGAGAAGTGCCAAGCAGAAGGAGGGAAAGCTCCTTATAAAACCATCAGATCTTGTGAGAACTCACTCACTATCACAAGACTAGCATGGAGGTAACCGCCCCCATGATTCAGTTACCTCCCACTTGGTCCCTCCCAGGACACATGGGGATCATGGGAACTACAATTCAAGAAGAGATTTGGGTGAAGACATACCAAACCATATCAATGCATAATAAATTTATTTAATCAAAGTTATACAGGACACAGGAGCCATCAGAAATGAAGACCTAAACACCAAGGGGAAACTGATTTTATGTTTAGGTTCAATGAGGAATGGCAACCAGGTAGAAACATGACTGGACAAAGAGAAGAATCTAATTGTGATAGACTAAGTGGGGAACACACAAGGCTTGTCTATGCAGATTCTTCTTGGCCTCTCTGGGTAGCATTCCTTCCTCTTGGGTATGGGGCAGGACCCCTCTGGAATGAGCATCTTCAAAGGAGAAAGCAGAGAGTGACATTACTAGGTTTAATGAGAGGGTTTCTAATTACTAGGATCTACCTTGGGGAAGAGGAATTCTGGTTTCTAAGACTTTGGAGGGGGAACAGGGGTTGGGTGACAGGAGGACAAGAGAAGGTCAGAGAGGAGACTTTGTTTCTGAGCCTGCTTCTGAGGGCTTCCAATGTCCTAGTGTTCAAAGTACTCAGTATGCCCATGTGCCATATTTTGGGGTATTGTTTTCTAAGCCCCAACACTGGCTGCTGCTGGCTCTGAAGATGGAGAAAGGGCAGTGGCTCATGCCTGTAATCCCAGTACTTTGGGAGGCTGAGGCGGGCAGATTGTTTGAGCTCAGGAGTTCAAGGCTAGCCTGGAAAACATGGTGAAACCCCATCTCTACTAAAAATACAAAAATTAGCTGGGCATGGTGGCACACACCTGTGGTCCCAGCTACTTGGGCATTTGAGATGGGAGTAACTCCTGAGCCCAGGAGAACAAGGTTGCAGTAGGCCAGGATCACACCACTGCACTCCAGCCTAGGTGAGAGAGTGAGCCTAGAGAAAAAACACAGCCCCATGAGATCTTACTCTCAGGCAGAGAGAGCCCTCTTTGTACTTCTGACCTATCATCAGAGCTAACAGATAAATTTGCATTCTTTTAAACTCCTAAGTTTGTGGTAATTTATTAAAGCAGTAATAGGAAACTAATACAGAGTATTTAAACAATACACCTGCTAAAAATCTTAGCAAATTAAATTAAGAGAGTTTAACTGAGCAGAGAACCAGACACAAATCAGGCAGCCTCCTGAGCAAGAGTAGGCTCAGAGAGACTCTAGCACAGCCATGTGGTGGGAGAATATTTATAGACAGAAAAAGGAAAGTGATGTCCGGAAAATGGAAGTGAGGGACAAACACAGCCAGATTGGTTTCAGCTCAGCCGTTGCCTGATTTGAACACAGTTTGAACACTTGTCCCCCTTTGGCCATAACTCAGTTAAGCCAAACTTAAAATATATAAGAACTTAAAATATATAAGGAGGCAGCTGTAGGCTATACTTGATTTAACACATCCTATTCTGAAAGGTAAAATGGTATGGAGAAAGGAAAGCAATTCTGCAAATTGTTATTGTTTGTTAATAAAGGAAATCACAAAAGGAGAGGCTTAAACGTTAATTTTACATAACTCTCCCTAAAATTACATAGGCAGGAATATTTGTGAGTTTTTGTTTGTTTTTTGAAACACGTTTCACCCTGTTGCCCAGGCTGGAGTGCAGTGGCAGGATCTCGGCTCACTACAACCTGCGCCTCCCAGGTTCAAGAGATTGTCATGCCTCAGCCTCCCAACTAGCTGGAATTACAGGTGGACGCCACCTCGCCTGGCTAATTTTTGTATTATTAGTAGAGACAGGGTTTCACCATGTTGGCCAGGCTGTTCTCAAACTCCTAACCTCAAGTGATCTGCATGGATCGGCCTCCCAAAGTGCTGGGATCACAGGTGTGAGCCACGGCACTTGGCCAGTAGGAATAATTTGGTTTGGCAATTATGTTTTTTTTTTTTTTAGTTGTTTTTTGTTTTGAGACAGAGTCTTGCTCTGTCGCCCAGGCTGGAGTGCAGTGGCACAATCTCAGCTCACTGTAAACTCCGCCTCCCAGATTCAAGCAATTCTCCTGCCTCAGCCTCCTGAGTAGGTGGGATTACAGGTGTGCACCACCACGCCCAGCTAATCTTTGTATTTTTAGTAGAGACAGGGCTTCACCATGTTGGTCAGGCTGATCTCGAACTCCTGACCTCGTGACCCAACCCCGTCAGCCTCCCAAAGTGCTGGGATTACAGGCGTGAGCCACCGTGCCCTGCCTGGAAGGGCAATTTTGTTTTAATTGCAATTAGCCTTCTACCATTTATCAAAAAGATTCCTTAGTGTTTATGGATAGACACATCTTCCACTGGCAGTGGAATACTTCACCCTACCTAAAGCGATTCCTTCTTTCTTAGATAATGCCGCCTTCTCACCTATTGTCTGACTCTCCAGAGCCATCAGCCATTGCCTGGCATGTAGTTTGTGCTTTGATACACAGAAGCCACCTAAAAACCACCTTGACTTGTAACAGTAAATTCCTATTAGATTGTTCAGCACGGAAGAAAACCAACATACAACTGCAGAATAAAGAGCTGAAAGGAACCTTATGTGATCTAGTTTAACCTCTTTATTTTATCAGAAAAGTGATATTCAAAAACTGGAATTCTCTCTGAAGGTCATGCAGTCTGGAGTGAAAGTAGCTTGAAATGCCAGCCCAGGTCTCTTCCCATAATGTATGCTGCTGTCCGCATGGTTTGTTCAAATTCAGTCCTTCATTCATCCAATGGCAATTTACTAAGGGCCTACCTGTGTGCTGGGCACTGCTTTAGACACTGGTTATGCAGTGGAAAATGAGAAAAATGAAGGCCCTATTTTTTTTGTTTGTTTTGTTTTGTTTGAGATGGAGTCTCACTCTGTCACCCAGGCTGGAGTGCAGAGGTGTGCTCTCGGCTCACTGCAGCCTCCGCCTCCCAGGTTCAAGAGATTCTCTGCCTCAGCCTCCCAAGTAGCCAGGATTACAGGTGCCTGTCACCACGCCTAGCTAATTTTTTTTTTTTTTTTTTTTTTTTTTTTTTAGTAGAGATGGGGTTTTGCCATGTTGGCCAGGCTTGTCTCGAACTCCTGGCCTCAAATGATCTGCCTGCCTCGGCCTCCCAAAGTGCTGAGATTACACGCATGAACCACCGCGTCCAGTCCTCTATGTTAACTACATAGTGAACAGTCCAATGGGAGGAAACAGACACTACACAATAAATACACAAACACGTAACAAGTGCTATCGAAAATGGAACAGGTTGATGTGATAGAAAAAGACTAGGGGTCGCTTTCAGATTGGCTGATCAGCAAAAACCTCCCCAAAAGGACCTGAATAACAAGAAGGAGACAAGCAGGATGGGAGCAGTGCCTTCCCCGCAGAGGGAACACAGACACAGACTATAGCACAGAAGCTAGTCTGACCTTTTGGAGGAAGGTCACGAAGGCCCGTGTGGCAGGAACCTGGCACAGGAGGGTGACGGGGTAAGAGGGGCAGTGTGAAAGGTGGGCGACAGCCCAGGCGAGCTCTGTATACACCTGTATTTATATGCGTGTTGACCTCCATTTTGGAATGTGAAATGCTCATGCGCACGGATTTGTTTAATACACAAAGCACCTAATGTTACCAAGTCAATATGAACTCGGACCTGTCCTGTCTTCATGGGGAAGGATTGGTTTCTTTTTTTAAAGAAATATTTTTTTGGAGATAAGATCTCACTCTGTTGCCCAGGCTGGAGTGCAGTGGCACAATCATGGCTCACTACAACCTCAAATCCATGGGCTCCAGAGATCCTCCCATCTCGGCCTCCCAAGTAGCTGGGACTATAGGCGTGCAACACAACATCTGTCTAATCTTTTTATTTTTTGTAGAGATGAGGTCTCACCATGTTGTCCAGGCTGTTCTCGAACTCCTGGCTTCAAGCAATCCTCCCACCTCAGTCTCCCAAAGTGCTGGGATTACAGGTGTGAGCCACTGCGCCTGGCCCAAGGGTTGGTTTCAAAAACACAAAATCAACAAAATGAGTGAATTGTTGGCACTGATCAATGGCATTGTGCTGGGTTTTATGAAGTGAAGGTTCACAAGAGCACTTTAAGATGGGAATGAAATAATTTCAACAAAGGGAAGTCAGATATTCCCAGCATGGGGGAAGCTATTAGAAGTTACTGAGTGCACACACTATGTGCAGGCAATCCAGTAGCTGCTTCCCCTCCATTATTCCAGTTAACGCCCCACTCTACAATGTTATGTAAGAAGCACTTGGGGCCGGGCGCGGTGACTCACGCCTGTAATCCCAGCACTTTGGGAGGCCGAAGTGAGCGGATCACAAGGTCAGGAGTTTGAGAACAGCCTGGCCAACATAGTGAAACCCCATGTCTACTAAAACTACAAAAAAATTAGCCGGGAGTGGTGGCGGGCACCTGTAATCCTAGCTACTCGGGAGGCTGAGGCAGGAAACTCGCTTGAACCTGGGAGGCGGAGGTTGCTGCAAGCCGAGATCACGCCACTGCACACCAGCCTGGGCAACAGTGCGAAACTCTGTCTCAAAACAAACAAACAAACAAAAAGCACCTGGATGCTGAGCAACCAGCTCAAGCCTGCATGCTTAGCGAGTGAGAAAACTGGAAACTACACACTGTTCTCTCTCACTCCAAGGGTCATTCATGCCTTTCCCATTTTGCCATCTACCACTCATATAGACCAAAAACTAGTCTGCACAAGTCATGTCACCTCTAAAAAGTCCACTCTCTTCTTGCATGAGATGACAGGTCAGACCAGATGATCTCAAAAATCCCTGTGCGTCCAACATGCTGGGATTACATGGTTCTAATCTACTGGCAGAACTTCCCTCCCTCATTCTTGCAGGCCTCTGCACCTGGAAATTTCCTCCTCGGTAAGTAGAGCAGTTGCTACCTAACGATCAGAAATGCTTCCTAACGTCCAGAAGCCAGATTTCTTGCCTGCATGGCTAACAACAGCAAGCGCAATCCTACCTCCCCCTGCTGGTGGGGGAGGGATAACAGGGTCATTACTAGCTCGTCTTTCCTTTCACTTCCACCTCCTCAAATAAAAATCAACTTCCAAATCCGTGAGTCAGTCTCGACACGTTTATGTGCCAAGACACTATTATGAGGAAATTGCATTCCCAAATGAACTTTAAGGACAGCTCTCAGCAGCTTAATTTGCAAATGCCAGTATTTTCCCTCTCCATAAAGGGCTCACCTTCTTCGGTTCAACGTCAAATAGAAGCAAACAGAAATTTTGCTTCTAAGAAGCACAGATTATTTCGGGGGAGTAAAGTTCTCTGCCTTAAAGACTTTTCTACTTAACAGCAATCTCAACAATTTGGGAGGCCGAGGCGAGAGATTCGCTTGAGCTCAGGTGTTCAAGAGCAGCCTGGGCAACACAGGGAGACCCTGTCTCTACAAAAAATCTTAAAATTAGCCAGGCGTGCTGGTGCACACCTGTGATCTCAACCACTCAGGAGGCTGAGATAGGAGGATCTCTTGAGCCCAGGAGGTCAAAGCTGCAGTGAGCCATAATCACGCCACCGTTCTCCAGCCTGGGGGACAGAGCAAGACCCTGAAAAAAAAGAAAGAAAGAAAAGAAAAGAAAAAGAAAAGGAGAGAGTCACCATCGTATAACATGTCAGTAAGTCACATTTCCAGATTTGGAGTGTGGCTAATCATTTCTTCTTGAATTGTAAATAAATGAGAATTATTTTCATATTCTGGAGCAAAAATTAAATATTTGAATATAGAGTCATTATTTTTAATATATTAAATTATCAAGCTTAAAATATCTCATAATTTGGGCCAATTCTGACTACTCCATAAGGCAATGCTAGGACTAAAAAGACCCAGCCTTCCTATATACACTGCTTTTCTTTATATAGAGAGCAGGTCTTCCATGCCCCAAAAAAGTCATCTGATTCTTCTGAGTTGCCATTTGTGGTAGACAGTTGCTGTTTTTGCCTATCCCACATTCTGCATCTAGGTTTTCCTTTGGAAATTACCCCCAGCCCAATCCTGTGTATCTATGGTTCAGGAGTAGTCAAATTCACATCCAGATCCAGGGGCAGGCACATGATCCAGGCCTTGTCAATCAGGCTATCCCATCCCCCTAATAGCAGTTATGGCCCATACCACAAGTCTAATCAGAACTAATCCCTAGTTCATTGCTAGAGAGTCCAAGATAAAAATGTTCTCCTTCTCCTGGGAAAGGCATATCAACCTGGAGCTTCTGGGAACCACTTTGCCAACACAGGTAGCAGCCTGCTTGAGAATAAACGAAAACAAAGGAAAGGAAATAAAGATGCAAGAGAATAAGTTGAGTCCGATGACACCACCAAAATTCCTGGAACCAAATGTGCCTGAAGCCTCCATGGACATTTTAGGTATATGAGCCAATTCGTTCATTTTTTTAAATTAAGTTGGTTTAAGTTGAACTTTCTGTTGCTTGCAGCCAAAAAATTCCCATTGGGTATATAAATATATATAATTATATTTATTATATAAACATATAATTATATTTATTATATAAACATATAATTATATTTATTATATAAACATATATATATTTATTATATAAACATATATAATTAAATTTATTGTATAAACATATATAATTATATTTATTTTATAAACATATATAATTATATTTATTGTATAAATATATATAATTATATAAACATATAATTATATATTTATTATATAAACATATAATTATATATTTATTATATAAACATATATTTAATTTTATATATTTATTATATAAATATATATTTAATTACATATTTATTATATAAATATATAAATTATATATTTATATAATAAATATACATAATTATATATTTATATAATAGATATGTATAATTATATATTTATATAATAGATATATAATTATATATCTATTATATAAATATATAATTATATGTCATATATAATTATATATCTTTATTATATAAATATATAATTATATATCATGTATATAATTATATACCTTTATTACATAAAGACATATAATTATATACCTTTATTACATAAAGACATATAATTATATCTTTATTACATAAAGACATATAATTATTTCTTTATTACATAAAGACATATAATTATTACATAAAGACATATAATTATATCTTTCTTACATAAAGACATATAATTATATCTTTCTTACATAAAGACATATAATTACATACCTTTATTACATAAAGACATATAATTACATACCTTTATTACATAAAGACATATAATTATATACCTTTATTACATAAAGACATATAATTATATACCTTTATTATATATCTTTATTACATAAAGACATATTTAGTTATATATCTTTATTATATAAAGACATATTTAGTTATATATCTTTATTATATAAATATATGTTTAGTTGTATATCTTTATTATATAAATATATGTTTAGTTATATATCTTTATTATATAAATATATGTTTAGTTATAGATATTATATAAATATATATTTAGTTATAGATATTATATAAATATATATTTAGTTATAGATATTATATAATATATATTTAGTTATAGATATTATATAAATATATATTTAGTTATAGATATTTACTATATAAATATATATTTAGTTATATATTATATAAATATATATTTAATTATAGATATTTATTATATAAATATATTTAATTATATATTATATAATATATATTTAATTATATATTATATAATATATATTTAATTATATATTATATAATATATAATTAATTATATATTATATAATATATATTTCATTATATATTATATAAATATATATTTAATTATACATTTACATATAAATATATATTTAATTATATATTTATATATATTTAATTATATATTATATAAATATATATTTAATATATATTTATATGTAAATATATATTAAATATATATTTACATATATGTAAATATATATTTAATATATATTTACATATAAATATATAATTAATTATATATATTTACATATAAATGTATACTTAATTATATATATTTACATATAAATATGTATTTAATATATAAATACATTTTTATATACTATATATTATATAAAATATATATATTATAAATATATAAAAATATATTTTAATATAATATATAAAATATATTATATAAATTTATAATATATTTATTTTATTATATATTGATATAATTTATTATATATTGATATAATTTATTATATATTATATAATATATAATAAATTATATTATATATTATATAATATATAATAAATTATATTATATATTATATAATATATAACAAAATTAATTATATATTATATAATATATAACATTATTATATTATATATTATATATTATATAATATATAACATTATTATATTATATATTATATATTATATAAAATATATAATATATAATATATAAATTTTAATTTATAATTTTATATAAATATATAAAATATATATTATATAATATATTATATATTATATTATATTTAAATATATATTTTATATATTTATTATATATATAAAATATATTTTTTTCCCATTTTGGGGTTGCAAGATCACAAAAATCCTATGAAAATCTACCAAGTGCATCTATAGAACAAAGACACAAAGTCTTAGAGAATTAGTGGACATCTTTTTCCACTAAGAAAAAAAATCGCTGGTTAGGCATGATGACTCATGCCTGTAATCCCAGCACTTTGGGAGGCTGAGGCTAGAGGACTGCTGGAGCCTAGGAGTTCAAGACCAGCCTGGGTAACATAGGGATATCCTATCTCTACAAATAATGATGGTGTGCACTTGTGGTCTCTGCTACTTCGGAGGCTGAGGTGGTAGGATCACCTGAGCCTGGGAGGGCAAGGCTGCAGTGAGCCATGATCACATTACTGTACACCAGCCTGGGCAACAGAGCAAGACCTGTCTCAGAAAAAGGGAAAAGAAAAGAAAAGAAAAGAAAATGGGCTTATGAATTATTTATAAGAGAAACAATGTAAGAGGATCTATATTCTTATTTCTAGCAGCAGAAGAAAACTTCAGCAATCTCTTTTTTAAAAAATAAGCTCTCCCTAAAAATAGAACTAGCATTTGATCCAGCAACTCCACTACTGGGTATATATACCCAATGGGAAAGAAATCATATCAAAAAGATACCTGCCCTTGTATGTTTATCACAGCACTATCCACAAAACAACGTTATGGAATCAACCAAAGTGTCCAACAACAACAGTGGAGGATTGGATAAAGACTACATGGCACATACACACCCCGGAATACTACTCAGCCATAAAAACAAATGAAATAATGTCTTTTGCAGCAATATAAATGGAACTGAAGGCCATTATCCTAAGTGAAGTAACTCAGAAACAGAAAGTCAGTCCAGGCACCGTGGCTCAAGCCTGTAATCCCAGCACTTTGGGAGGCCGAGGCAGGTGGATCACTTGAGGTCAGAAGTTTAAGACAAGCCTGGCCAACATGGCAAAACCCTGTCTCTACTAAAAATACAAAAAATTAGCTCGGCATCGTGGTGCATACCTGTAATCACAGCTACTCAGGAGGCTGAGGCAGGAGAATCACCTGAACCCGGGAGGTAGAGGTTACAGTGAGCCGAGATCACACCACTGCACTCCAGCCTGGGCAACAAGAGCGAAACTCAAAAAAAGAAGGAAAGAGAGACAGAGAGAGAAAGAGAGAAAGAGAGAGAAAGGGAGGGAAAGAAAAAGTCAAATGGCACATGTTCTCACTTACAAGTGGGAACTAAACGATGGGTCCACATGGGTATACAGAATAGAGTAACAGACATTGGTGACTGCAAAAGGTGCGAGGGTGGGAGGGGGGAAGGGGGTGAGGGCTGAAAAATCATCTATTGGATACACTGTTCACTATTCAGGTAACGGGGACACTAAAAGCCCAGATTCATCACTATACAATACATGCAGGTAAGGAATCTGCACTTGTACCCCTTAAATCGATTTTTAAAATTTTTTAAAATTTTAATTTCTTCTATCCCTGCCCTCATGCTACATTTTTATTTTATTGATTGATTTATTGATTGATTGATTTTTTAATTTATTTTTGAGACAGAGTCTTGCTCTGTTGCCCAGGCTGGAGTGCAGTGGCGTGATCTTGGCTCACTGCAACCTGTGCCCCACCAGGTTCAAGTGATTCTCCTGCCTCAGTCTCCTGAGTAACTGGGATTACAGACAAGCACCACCATGCCCAGCAAATTTTTTTGTATTTTTAGTAGAGACAGGGTTTCGCCATGTCGGCCAGGCTGGTCTCAAACTCCTGACCTCAAGTGATCTGCCCACCTCGGCTTCTCAAAGTGCTGGCATTACAGGCGTGAGCCACTGAGCGTGGCCTCGTGCTACATTTTTAGTTTGAATAGGTCATCAGCAGGTTATCTTTGTGATACAACATATCTGGGATGCCACCAGGGAATAAATATAATGTAGATAAATACCTAGGTGATGAAATACAGTTTTCCAAAAAGTATACAAATTATGTGTCAATATTATACATTGTCCCATGCTTGAACCAAAAAAGCCTTCCCTACTAGACCACGTATGCTTTGTCTTTAAATTATTATACAATTTGGCAACATTTGTTTTTCCATTCTTCTAGGGAACAAGAATGTTACAGATCAGTAGTCATCAGCAAATCTAACGGTAAAAGCGATCTGAATTTGAAAAGCGCTTAGTGAGCGGTGAGATCACAAGCCATCTGGAGAAAGATGGGCTGATAGAGAAATGAAAGCCAGAACACAGTGCCATGAAGGCGAATCCCACGTAGCCCATTCAGGGAAAGCGTAAGGAGATAATGCAGAGAACAGATGAGGAAAGAAATAGACATAGCCTGCCTTGATACTCCCAGTAACATTAAATAGATCAAGCGATGACAGTGATGACACCATGCATTTATTAGGCAGTGCTTGTTCTCCAAGAATCTCAAAGTACTTTGCCAAACTCTTACATCAAACAGTGACAGTCATAAGAGATACTGGAAGGCATGATTCCTATTTTTCCCGTATTACAGACCCAAGGCACTCAGATTCTGAGAGGTCTGCCTTGCAGGGGCATGCATTGTGGAACACCTCTGATGAGACATTAAAAGACAACCACCAGGATAAAAAGTGATGAAGGAAAAAAAAAAGAAAATATTAATCCACAAAACAGAGGAAACAATTTTGTTCAACAATTATTATGGTATGATCTAAAACAATTTTTAAATGTACTATAGTGACCACAAGGAATTGCAAAAGTTTAAGAAATGCTATTTTTACAGTCACATTAGAGGTCTTAAGACATTAACCTGCGATGAGATTGGGGTGTCCTGACCTAAACGGCAGTACTTACTCTGGGCAGGTGTGATGGTTAATACTGAGTGTCAACTTGATTGCATAGAAGGATACAAAGTATCAATCCTGGGTACGTCTGTGAGGGTGAGGCCAAAGGAGATTCACATTTGAGTCAACGGGCTGGGAAAGGCAGACCCACCCTTAATCTGGGTGGGCACCATCTAATCAGCTGCCAGAGTGGCTAGAATATAAGCAGGCAGAAAAATGTTAAAAGAGAGAGTGGCCTAGCCTCTCAGCCTACATCTTTCTCTCATGCTGGATGCTTCCTGCCCTCGAACATCAGACTCCAAGTTCTTCAGTTTTGAAACTCGGACTGGTTCTTCTTGCTCCTCAGCCTGCAGATGGCCTATTGTGGGACCTTGTGATCGTGTGAGTTAATACTTAATAAATTCCCCTTAATATATATATATTCCATTAGTTCTGTCCCTCTAGAGAACCCTGACTAATACAGCAAGGAAGGGTATAACATACGGAAATACACAGGAAACCTCATAGTGGGAAAATGTAATTAGCATAAGGATATACAATCAAGTGTCCTTGGAACAAATGTGGGCCACTGTGTCTAACCTGGAGTTCAGAGTATGATAGGAATGCAGGACTCCTGAGCAGGAAATTGTTTCCTTGCAAGCCGATTTTCCAGGACCCATCTCGGAACCACCTCACAGAAAGCAAAATGGAAAAACTGTGTGACAAGATTGAAATGATAAAATCCTGAGATTTCTGCTATGAGGGAAGATTGGAAGTAATGCTCACTGAAAAAAGATGGCTCAAAATGGATTTAAATGAGGTTGTTAAGATGCACAAGAGGATGGCAAAGGGAGGGCCATTACCAAGGAGGGGTATTAGAGGCTATTTGCAAGAGCGGCCCAATTTCAAAATGGTGCGGATGTCAAATTCAATGGCCACAGACAGTGTACCAGAGCCCAGATTTTGAAGAGTCTGTCAATGAACTTAGTTTTATAAATATTTTAGAGTACTACCTTATGCATTACTTAGTAAAATTCACAGTGACGGTGTTAGAGTTGGGAGAATCTACACATCAAACACAGTAGCAATTTTTATAAAGCAAAAACTATAAGAGATACTAGGAAATATAAATAGAAAAATATTAACAGCAGTATGTTTAACTGACAATTCTCATCGCAAGACAGATCAAATGGTCAAGTTAAAGTAAGACTATAGACAACTTAATCAGTAAGATAACTATATGCACATCAGTCACACCAGGTATTCTGACAATGGAGAATATACCTTCTCAAATGTCCATGAAACATTCATAAAAAGAGACCAAATTGGCACAAAGAAAATAAAACAATGCCCCACAAAATAGAAAAGATACAGAAGTTTCTGAACATAATGCAATAAAACCAATTATTTTAACAACAAAATCAATAAGCAAAAAGGACTTGATTAACATTCTCTCCATTAAAGAACTCAGTTTTGGGTTTTTTTGTTTTTGTTTTTGTTTTTGCTTTTGTTTTTTTGAGACAGAGTCTCGCTTTGTCTCCCAGGCTAGAGTAGAGTGGCACAATCTTGGCTCACTGCAACCTCCACCTCCCAGGTTCAAGTGATTCTCCTGCCTCAGCCTCCCGAGTAGCTGGGATTACAGGTTCCTGCCACTATGCCTGGCTAATTTTTGTATTTTTAGTACAGACAGGGTTTCAGCATGTTGACCAGGCTGGTGTCGAACTGGCCTTAAGTGATCCACCTGCCTCAGCCTCCCAAAGTGCTGGGATTACAGGCATGAGCCACCACACCCAGCCTACTTCACAGTCTTAAATACTTATGTCAACAAAACGGAAAGACTAAAAGTAAATGAATTAAGCTTCCAACCCACCAAACATAGAAAGAACAACAAAATTAACTAAAAAAAAAGTATTAAGCTGCAATTACGTTTGCACCAACCTAATAGAGAGAATTAATAAAGATTAAAGCTGAATCACTAGGTTAGAATACAGAAAAATAGTCAAAACTAACATAGAAATAAGTAAATAAGGAAACAAGCAAGCAAGCAGGTAATTTGAGGAAAGACAGTAAAATAGATAAGTAGTTAACCTACTACTACAAAGAAAAGCAAGAAAAAATTCACAAAATAAGAAATGACAAAAGAGGGGGTAACCATAACAACAGAAAACTTTAAAAATTATGAGATTTTTCCATAACTCTGTAAATAAATTTGAAAATCTAAATTAAAACATGTCCTTTCTACAAAAGTATAATTTTTTAACTGAAGAGATAGAAAGCCTAATAAATAAATTTCCATAGAGGAAATATGGGATGTCGTCAGTGACACGATCCTCAAAAAGGGCCAGGATTAGCTAGTTCTACAGAGCAATTTCACAGGGAAGTTCTACCAGACTTAAAGATCAGATAATTCCGGTGTTAAACTGTTCCAAATATAGGAAAAGAAGAAAACACTCCAAATTCTTTTTATGACAGTATAAGCACACTGATAACAAAATCTGATAAAGATTGCAATAAAAAGAAAATGACAGACAAATCATCCTTAGAAATATCAGTGCAAATATCCTAAAGAAAACATTAGCAAGCAGAACCCAATGGCACGTTATAACCCGGAACAAGAGTTTGAGGAATGGAAGAAATATTCAATATTAGGAAGCCCATTAGTAAAATTCACTATACCAATCTAAGAGGAAAGTTCCTATAATCAAGTCCACAGATGGAAAAACTTGTGACAAAATTCAATGCTAAGTCCAGGTAAAAAAATGCAATACAATAGGAATAACTGGCGATTTCTCAGATACCTGGAGTTAGAAATACCATTTGACCCAGCAATCCCATTACTGGGTGTATACCCAAAGGAATATAAATCATTCTGTCATAAAGATACACGCATGCATATGTTCATTGCAGCACTATTTACAATAGCAAAGTCATGGAATCAACCTAAACGCCCATCAGTGATATACTGGATAAAGAAAATATGGTACTTACACACCATGGAATACTATACAGCCATACAAAGGAAAAAGATCATGTCCTTTGCAGGGACATGGACAGAGCTAGAACCCATTATCCTCAGCAAACTAACAAAGGAACAGAAAACCAAACACTGCATGTTCTGACTTATAAGTGGAACCTGATTGATGAGAACACATGGACACAGGTCGGAGAACAACACACACTGGGCCCTGTTGGGGGGTGGGGGAAGCAGGAGCATCGGGAAGAACAGCTAATGGATGCTGGGTTTAATTCCTGAGTGAGAGGATGATCTGTGCAGTAAACCACCATGGCACATTTTTACCTATGTAACAAACCTGCATATCCTGCACACGGACCCTGAATTTAAAATAAAAGTTGAAAAAAAATTAAAAAGCAAAAACAATAGGAACAGTTGTATACTTCTCTGTTAGTTTGAGTCCCCCGAGACAAGGATGTGTGTACAAGTAGTTGATTTGGGAGGTGATTTTCAGGAGGCACCGTGAGGGAGTAGGGAATTGAGACAAGTAAAGCTAATGAGAGTTGCATGAGGGGTTAACATTGCGGGCAGCTGAGGTTCAGTTTCCCTTGAGATCTTCTAAGAGCCCATGTGGAACACACAACTGAGTTGTTCCCTAGAAGGGCGAACAACTTTTTTTCCATTGACTCCCAGACCTCATTGGTTGGGAGTCCCTTCTAGAGGCTGTAGTTTCACAGGATACCTTGTCTGCCCACACAGGGCCACGCCCTCCCACTGCTGGAGAATGTGCTCAAGCAGAAAGGGGCAGGAAGTTTGCCGTGTGGATGGGAACTACCTGCAGGCAACCTCTGGGGTGGCTGCTGGTATCTGGGTGGGCAGGTGCATGTGTGTGCACACATCTGTGTAAAATTGGTGCAGAGGCCAGCTTCTGACATGGGGGAAAAACACTGGAAGCATTCCTGCTGCTGTTAGACGCAAAGATGCTCACAATTACTACTCTATTTAACACCATATTAAACCAATACAAGTAGACCAGAGAAGAAAACTAGAGGCATAAGACTGGAAAGAGGCAAAGCTATGTCTAGTTTGAGATGATACGATTTTGTATTCATAAACCCAATAAAGTAACTGAAATAGCACAACAAAATATAAGATAATTCAGTAAAATAGCAGTATGTAAAATTAATTAAAAAGAAATCATGGCCAGGCATGGTGGCCCATGACTGTAATCCCATCACTTTAGGAGGCCGAGGTGGGAGGATTGCTTGAGCCCAGGAGTCTAAGACCAGCCTGGGCAACATAGAGAGACCCTGTCTCTACAAAAAATTAAAAAAGTAGCCAGGCATAGTGGCATGCAACTGGAGTCCCAGCTACTAGGGAGGCTGAGGTAGGAGGATCCCTTGAGCCTGAAAAGTGGAGATTGCAGTGAGCTATGATTGCACCACTGCACTCCAGCCTGGATGACAGAGTGAAACCAGGAAGAAAGAGAGGAGAGGACGGGAGGAGAGGGGAGGGGAGGGGAGAGGAGAAGGAGGGAGGGAGGGAAGACAGGCAGGCAGGCAGGCAGGTGAAAGAGACAGAGAGAGAGAGAGAGAGAAATCGTTACCCTTTATATAGTAAAACAACAGAAGATATAATAGGATGGAATACCCCACTTTCAGCTAGGAGCAAACTTAACTAAAAATATGCAAAACCAAATAATATGAGAAAAACTTGGAAGTATTACTAATGGCTTTAAAAGTATTATGAAAAAGAAACAGCATATTCTTGGAAAGGAAAACTCAAAGTCAATTCTTCTTAATTTAAAGCAATCCAACAAAAATAACAGCAGGATTTTTTTTCTAGAACTAGACAAATTGATTCTAAAATTAACATGGAAACATAAAATTTTAAATAGCCAGAAAATGAAGAGAAATTATAGAACAGACCTACTAGGTATCAAAATACACCAATTTAAAATGTGCAATTGGTATCTGAAGAAACATATAAGCACATGGAACAGAATAGAAGGTCCAGAAATAGACCAAAATGTATAAAGGAATGTATTATATCATAAAGAGGACATTCCAAACTACTGAGATGAAGAAGGGCATTTTAATAAATTACAGTGGGACGACTGGATGGCAGTCTGGGGAAAAAAAGATAACGTAAGTCCCCTACTTCACATTGTGCACAAGTATAATTTCCCAAAGAATTCAATGTTAAAAGGTAGAAAATGAAGTGCTAGAACTGCTAAAGATTAAAAACGGAGTGGGGAAGGCTTTCGCAAGTAAGACTTCAAAATTCAGCAGCAATATAAGGTTGACAAATTTGACTGAAAAAAAATCAAAACCTTCTGCATGCCAATACAAAAAATTAGCCGGGCGTGGTGGTGGGCGCCTGTAATCCCAGCTACTCGGGAGGCTGAGGCAGGAGAATGGCGTGAACCCAGCAGGCGGAACTTGCAGTGAGCCGGGATAGCGCCACTGCAGTCCAGCCTGGGCGAAAGAGTGAGACTCCGTCTCAAAAAAAAAAAAAAAAAAAAAAAAAAAAAACAAGGTAAATGACTAATTTGGAGAAGATGGGGAGGTAATAATTTATATTACAAAGACTGAGCTCCCTAATCTATAAAGATTACCTGGCATGGTGCGGTGGCTCATGCCTGCAATCCCAGCACTTTGGGAGGCCGAGGCGGGCAGATCACGAAGTCAAGAGATCGAGACCATCCTGGCCAATGTGTGAAACCCCGTCTCTACTAAAAATACAAAAATTAGCCGGGCGTGGTGGTGGGTGCCTGTAGTCCCAGCTACTCAGGGGGCTGAGGCAGGAGGATCGCTTGAACCCCGGAGGCGGAGGTTGCATTGAGCAGGGATTGCGCCACTGCACTTCAGCCTGGTGACAGAGTGAGACTCTGTCTTTAAAAAAAAAAAAAAAATTACCTAAAATTCAGAAAGAAAATGACCAACAATTTGAAATAAAGATGACAAATGACACAAACAGTCCTTGCAGGGGTTGCAGGCAGGATGCATGAAAATGGCCATCAAGCATATGAAAAATGTCTCAACCTTGCTCACAGTAAGATAAAGGTCAATAAAACTGCACTGAGATACATATCATGTACCACCTATTAGAGTGGCAAAAATCCAAAACTCTGACAACACTCTTGTCAGTGGGGCTGAAGGGAGAAAAAATACCTAATACACTGTGCTGGTGAGAAAGAGAAAACGGTGCAACTCCCATGGAGAGCAATCTGGCCATTTCTACCAAAAATACAACTGCACTTGCCTTTTCACCTAGCAATCCTACTTCTGGGAATCTATCCCACAGATAGATCTACCCACATTAAATGGCATATGTAGAAGATTATGCATTACAGCATTATTTGCCATAGCACAAGATTGGAAATGATCCAACAGTCCATGAATAGAAGGTTGACTGAAGAAACTACGGATATATTAACCCAATCAAATACTATGCAATCAAATGAAAGTATGAACACTATTTCTACTTACTGATGTGGAAAGACCTCCAAAATATTTGTTGTTTAAAAAAAAAGCAAAAGTTGAAGCTAATTGTGTAGTATGCTACCTTTTCAATAACAGAAAGAAATGAATATACATTTATATTTGCTTTCCTTTGATGAAAGATACACTGAAAAAATAAACAGGAATCTAATAGAAATTGTTACCAATGGAGGGCAGAACAATGAGGAGGGAAGGGGATGGAAGCAAGAATTCTGAGTGTAACTTTTAATTATTTTTAATTTTGAATTATGTAAATATATTACCTATAATAAAAAATAAAAATTTGAAATATTCCAGAGAGGAAAACATATATAACCTAAAAGGAAATAAGAAACAGACTGATTTCAGATTTCTGATGGAACAATATAACACTAATGTCCAAAGAGGAAAAGATGTGAATCTAAAATTCTATAAGAGGTAAAAATATTTTTCAAAATAAAGACCTTTCTGACATGCAAAGACTCCGTTTGTCATATACAAACTCTCCAACAAGTTTCTCCTACTCACTGCAGCAGCACATACACTAAAGTGGAAAGGAAGGATAACATGCCAATTTGTGAAACATTCCATAATTTTCCAAAAAAAAATTTAAACCAATAACTTTTAAAAGAATTTTTAAAGAATGCACTCCAGGAAGAAAAAAAGAATCAGAGAGAAACTGGATACAAAAAGCAGGGTTGAGCAAAGAAACCAGAAAACTAATTAAATTTAAATAAATGTTGATTGCAAAGAAAAATATCTTTTAACAATTTGGAACTAAAGACTTCAGAAATGTTGGAGAAGATAGGAAGTAAAGGAAGTAAAAATACATCAAAGTTTTCACCTTATTCAGGGACAGGGGAAGGGCAGTTGTCTTAGTCCATCTGTACTAGTCAGGGTTCTCTAGAGGGATAGAACTCATAGGAGATACATATTTATATCTCCATATATATGTGTGTGTATATATATCTCCATATATATGTGTGTGTGTATATATATATCTCCATATATATGTGTGTATCTCTATATATATGTACATATATATGTATATATGTGTATATATATGTCTCTCCACATTCAGGAGTTTATTAACTTGCACAAGGTTCCACAAAAGGCCGTCTGCAAGCTGGGGAGCAAGGAGAACCAGTCCAAGTCTCAAAACTGAAGAACTTGGAGTCCGATGTTCACGGGCAGGAAGCATCCAGCACGAGAGAAAGATGTAGGCTCAGAGGTCAGGCCAGTTTAGTCTTTTCATGTTTTTCTGCCTGCTTTGTATTCTAGCCACACTGCCAGCTGATTAGATGGTGCCCACCCAGATTAAGAGTGGGTCTGCCTTTCCCAGCCCCACTGACTCAAATGTTAATCTCCTTTGGCAACACCCTCGGGACACACCCAGGATCAATACTTTGCATTCTTCAATCCAATCAAGTTGACACTCAGTATTAATCATCACACCATGTATGCTGCTATAACAAGATATCTGAGACTGGGTAATTTACAAAGAACAGAAACTTATTTTCTCATAATTCTGGAGACCGCGAAGTCCAAGATCAAGGCACCAGCATGCTCCGTTGTCTGGTGGGGGCTGTTCTCTGTTTCTAAGGTGGTGCCTTGAGCTCCATCCTGTGTAGTGGAGAGAAAAGCTGTGTCCTCACATGATGGAGGAACAAAAGAAAGTGAACTCATTCCCTCCGGCCCTTTTGTAAGGGGTCTAATTCCATCCATGAGGGCTGAGCCTTCAAAACCAAATACCTCTTAAAGGTTCCACATCACATTGGCTATTAAGTTTCAACACCTGAATTTTGGAGGGGACACATTCAAAACATAGCAGTAGTCTACATGATGGTGGGAAGATGTATAATCAATATGTGTATTAAAAGTCTAAGTGTAGAAGAACAGGAATGGCAGGTGTAACTTAGAAACCACCTAGAAGAAAAAATGGAATAAAATAGATGATGGGATAATCCAGTCAACCAAAAATAGGCAGAAAGAGGGGAAACTAAAATGGCACAGTGTCACAGAAAAATAAATAAATAAGTTCAAACACATTGGTAATAATAATCTGTGTGAAGGATGAATTATATATTAAAACAGAATTTTCATTTTGCAATAAAAAAAAACACAGGCTAATTCTTAAAGGCATACCTAAAGATGACAGAAAGAGAGAAGACAAGAGTATAAGAAAAGATATACCAACAATTCTGAATATCAGGAAAAAAGATAGAATTTTAGGCAAATGCAGTAAAAGGATAAAAAGGGATGTTTGCCAAGAAGATGTAACATATAAACTTTTGGGTATATTTGACAATTGCAGCTTTCAGGAACCAGTAGACAAAATAGATGAACAAAAAGTAAGAATACAGAATATTTGGCTAATCTAATTAACAAGTTTGATCTAATAGATATAGAATATAACATTGAACACAATGAAGAACATCCTTCTGAGACAGTCAGGACACTCACAAAAGAAAATTGATCATGTATTAGGTCATGAAGAAAAATCTCATCGACTCCCGTAAAGCAGAAATCATATAAGCCATATTGATTGATCAAAATGAAATAAAATTAGATTCATCATCAAAAAGATAGAAAAAAATCCATAGACTTAGAAACTTTAAAACGCCCTTGAGAATAACTCTTATGTTTAGGAGAAAAATCAATACAGAACTTACAAACTACATTTAGAAATGAATGATGATGAGGTCATCATGATTTAGGTAAAACAGTATTTAAGGAAAATTTAAAAGCACTTCTGGCCCTGCTCTTCCACTTCTTGGTATTCCTCAAAGGAACATTTTCACTGTGCACCAAGACGTGTACAAAGGTTTTTATTGCACTATTGTTTGTCATGGTTAACCATTCCTCTGTTGATGAACACAGGCTTTTTTCCAGGTCTTTCTAGCACCATGCTATAGAATACCATACAACAGTTAAACAGAATGAAATAGAGTTACGTGTGCTGAAACGGTAATACTTCTAAGGCATTATGTTAAGTAAAATAGACAAAATGCAGAAATAAAGGAGGTGTGATACTTATTATATTAAGATAATTTAACAAAAATTAAAACTATTGTATTTCTACAGGTACATATTCTATTTTACAGAGAAAAATGTCAGGGAGGATAGATGCTGAACAGTGTACTACTTTTAAGGAAGGGAATAGGATAGAAGGAAAGATCAAGGGGACATTCAATTAATTCTACTGTTTGATGGTTTTTTACAACAGGAAGATATTTACTTAATATTTGTGTACTAGCAAAAGAAAAGTTCTCCATGTGAATGATTCTAAGGTGATCATACATGAGTCATCTCTTAGAGACAAATTTTGTAGAAACCACTCATTGAGTTTGTGTAATAATTTTTGCCCGGGCAAGTTTTTATTGATAAAGCTAGCTTCTTTTGATTTAGAACCTGAAGGGAAAGTAAGGTATTAGATGATTTTCATTGTGTTTTGTTAATTACATAATTTCACATTTCTAAATTACAGACTAGAAAAATAGCTAAGATAGAAGGGGCAGAAGAACTTAAATGAAGCCCTATTTTACAAACTCTATTTATTGTTTAGGAATTGTGATGCTATCATCTGTAAAATAAATCTTTAAAGCTCTTACCTTCACCAGTATTAACATATGTTAAAGCTCTGCATCTTAGGTTCAGCCTTAAACATAGGGGTCTCTTTTAAAAGAAAAACTCATCAATGTCATTAGCAGTGCAAGACAGAAAGCAAAACGTAAACGACAAATATATGAATGAAATAAAATGTTACACGAAGAAAGCGCAAAGCAAAAAATGTGTAACCCATTTCACTAGCTGTACAACAAAATATTAAAATAACTCTCAGACACACTGGTTGTTAAATGGGGAGGGGTATGGGTGAATTAAAAAGTTACTCTAATTTAAACAAAATTAATAAAGAAATGTTCTGCATGAGTTTTTTTTTTTCCTGTTTCTACTTCTAATCATTTATCATGCAAATGAAAGCAGTAATGGAAAATGTAAAGAAAACAAATTCTGCAATATACTGAAACTCGTATCCAGCAAGAGATAAGATTGAATATCAGAAAGAAGGAGTCTGAAAATTAGCTGTCTGTACAATAACTGGGAGGGAAAACGGTTTTATTTAGCCTGGAGGGATTTTTTTGTAGCAAACTGACTAAATTAAAATCCAGTCTATTAAATCCAGTATCATACTAGAAAATGCCTTTTCCTTGCACTTTTAGATAAATTTTCATTGATCTCATTTTACACATGATTACATTTTTAATGAGTTATGCAATATTTCCAGGCTAATTTTAAATCCCCTCTCTCCTCTCCCCCTTCCACTTACTGCTTGCTGGATTAACATTTCTGATAAATTGTTGGACCAGAAAGAAGGAGCATTACCAAGATGAAATAAATTATTTCCATTTTTTTTTGCAGCTCTAAAGTGCCAATAGGAGAATACAAATGCCCACTGTTTAATTATGCCACATCTTCCAATTCATTTCACAAAAAAATTATTTTATTTTTATGTAATAGGCATGTTACCTTGTTTTCATTATAAATAACCCTGCATGGTGTATAGTCTATTAGAATAAAAAAAATTTCACCCTGACATTGATCAGGTAAACTTGGTGTATGGACATCTTAAAAAGGAATGGCCCAAAAGCAACCCATAATATAAAAAGGATATGGAGACAACTGGAAAGCCTACATGCTGATAAATAGTTATTTTTTAAAAGATTCGTACTGTTTAAAATTAACCTTCAAGCAAAATACAAAATAATACTGCGCATAAGTGTTTTAAAGAGATCTATTCTTGTATGGGATGGGAGGCTGGGGGAGTTCCTTGAGCACAGTCTCCAATAAAAGGAAAGTAAGGTCAATTTTCTCTATCTACACCTTCAGGCCTACACAGCAAGAGGAGAGATGATTTGACGGGAGTCAGTGGAATTCCAGCCTCTGTTCAAGAAAGGAAGTCAGAGAGCAAAACTTTTTAAATAGATTAAACTTTCTAATTCAATGACATATTAGATGATTAAAACAAAATTCAGCTCTATGGTGCTTTAAAATTACGGATCTTGAAAGACTGAAACTAAACATATGGGAAAAAAATTTACCAGGCAAATACTAACCAGAAGAAAGTTGGTAGATGGTGTAGTAATTTTAGTAATGTACACACACCCATATGCACACACATACGTACATGAAAATGAGCACACACACACACACACACACACAAAGCATTACCTTGTGCTCCTAACACAATATAGCTTCAAAATATAAAAATTAAAAACTCACAAAAATTAAAAGGAAAAAATGATGGAAGAAATGACAGAGAAAAGATTGAACATAGTAAGTGAAGACCTGAAAGATATAAAGAAAAAGGATACAAATTGAACTTCTGGCGATGAAAACTATAATGTTTGAGATGAACAATATACCATATGAGATTAACAGGAGATTAGACAAAGCAAAAGAAAAGATTGGCAAGCTTCAAGATATAGCAATGTGTCTATAAACTGGAACTATAAAATGGAACACCAATTAAAAAAATTAAAAGACAGGAAAAAATGAACAAAGCATTAGTGAACTATGAGACAGCCTCAAATGGCCAAATACAACGTAATTGGCATCCCTAAAAGAATACAGAGGCGATAAATATTTAAAGAAATCATTAATGGCTGAAATTTTTCCAAATTTGATAAAAACTATAAGCCTATGAATCCAAGAAACTCAATGAACTCCAAGCATAACAAACACAAAATTAAGGCATGTCATAATCAAACTGTTTAATACCAGCAATAAGAGAAAAATGTTAAAAGCAGCCAGAGAGGAGAAAAAGAGACATATTGTATATGGAGAAATAGATAAAGAGGAAGGCAGGTTTCTCTCTGGAAACAATATAAGCTAGATAATGGTGAACCAACATCTTTAAAATACTGGCTGGAATATAGGGGAGGAAATCAGTGAAAACTGCTAAAAAATGAAGATGAAATAAAGACATTTTCCAGACATACAAATATTGAAAGAATTAATCACCAGAAGACTGACACTATGAGAAATGGTAGATAAGTGCTTCAAAGAGAATACAAGTGAGACCAGATGTACACAAATGAAAGAAGAATCCTAGAAATAGAAACTACAAAAGTAAATATAAAGAATTATTTTAAATTTAAACCTCCTTAAAAGATAATCAATAGCTTAAGGCAAAAATAATAGCAATGTATTACAGAGATTTTAACGTGTAAAAGTGAAATGTATGATCACAGTAGCTCAAAGGCCAGGAGGCGAAGGAGAAATTAAAATATATTATTGTAAGGTTTTTATACTATAAGTAGCACAAAGTCACTTGAAGATAGACTATAATATGTTAAAAATATATAATATAAATTCCTAAACAACTAATTCTTTAAAAACAGAGCTAATAAGCAAATAAAGTAGAAATATAGAATTATAAAAATATTAATCTAAAAGAATATAGAAATAGAGGACAAAGAGAATAAAGAACAAAAAAGACACACAGAAAACAAATAGCAAGACTTTAGATTCAAATCAATCATATTAGTTCATCACATTAAATGTAAATGGTCTAAGCAACCAAATTAAAAGGCAGAGATTATCAGATTAGGAGGAAAGAAAATAACACCCACTCTATGCTGCTACATTTTTTTTAAGTAAAAAGGATGGAAAAATATATTCTTACTAATGTAAGTTGAAAGAAAGTGAAAATGGCTATATTAATATCAGCCAAAGTAGATTTCAGAGCAAAAATTATTATCAGGGATGAAAAAGGTCATTTTATAATAATATAGGACTTGATTCATCAAGAAGACATAAAAGTCATAAATATTTGTGTGTTTAATAACAGAGCTTCAAAATACATGAAGCAAAAACTGAAAGAACTAAAAAGGAAAATAGAGAAATCTACAATTATACTGTAAGATTTTCACTCATTTCAATAATTGATGGAACAAGGAGACAGAAAATTAGTAAAGACACACAACTTATGAAAAATGCTATTAACCAACTTTATCTAAATGACAATCATAGAATACTCCACCCAATGACAGCAGACTAGACATCTGTTTCACATGCCTATGGTATACATAAGATAGACCATATTTGGGATCATAAAAGAATTCTTAATAAATTTAAAAAGCATTCAAGTCACATAAATGTTTCTATGGTCACATTGGAATTAAATTAGAAATCAATAATAGAAAGATTTCTAGAAAATCCTCAAATGTTTGAAAACTAAATTATACACCTGAATATAATACATGGGTAAAGGAAGAAATCAAACAGAAATTACACTATATTTGGAAGTGAGTGAAAACGAAAGCACAGCATATTGAAATTTGTAGCTCTATTCTTCACTGTATTTCTTGGAATCAAAAATTTCTTCTAAAACAATGATGGTAACTAGGATTACATTTAGGAGGCTCATCCAGTATTTGAGGTCTAAGATGCAATATCAATTTCAACGTTGACTAAAAATCTTCACCCTGGCATTGAAACAATAGAACGGTGTCATCATGACGGCCCAACTTTTGTACTCATGGTATAAAAAGATGGAAGTTAATCTACTTATGGTCTTTTTATGATCTTTTTTAGTTATACCTCTATTTGTCTTCTCTGAGAAATACAAGAAAATCATAATAGGATTATAGTATTTAAACAAACACCCAACTCTAACTAATTTCTGGATATATTTGTCATTTCTACCAGAGAAACAGGTTTCAGGGAATTGAAGAGTTATAAAAAATCCAAGCCTGAGACTGAGTAATTTAACTATTTTTAGTGATAGTGAACAGTAAATACATGACCAGAAATATAAAATATTAACATCAAAGTGAAATATAGAAAGGCTCAGAAAGTATTGAGAGCCTAAAGGAATGTAGCAGAGGGTTTAACAGACTATAAAGCTCACAAGAGAACTCGACAAGAATCTAATGTTCAAAACAGTAAAAGTCAATCTTATATTTGTTTAACTCACTGAAAAATTCACTGTAGTCTGGACAGCCACAGTCTAAGACTTCAGCAGTGAAAATGTAATTAAGATATGCTAATATTGGACAAAAAAATTAAGACCCAGGAATGTGGAAATGCCTTCCATACCACTCAAGTGGGCAATACTTGAACATGGAATGGTGAGGTTTATTTGGCATGGTGGAAGAGGACTGTAGAACTGCAGAAGTCCTGAAGTCCTGAAAACTGTTTTTGTTATTAGAGAAGCAATAAATCACAAAGCTTGGAAGCAGTTTCCGTTAATGGAGAAATCTCACAGACCTTGTCCCAGTCTGCATGCTGAGAACAAGAATAACTATTTTAGGGAAATTCTGTGAGCAAAATTCAGAGAAATTAACAAATCTGGTACAGATAAATTTGACAGCAGTTTCAAATACAGACTTCATAGTAGGGGGATGATTAATGGATACAAAAATATAGTTAGGTAGAATGAAAAGGATCTAGTATTTGATAGCACAACAGGGTGACAACAGTCAACGATAATTTATTGTACATTTAAAAATAACTAAAAAGGTATAACTGGAATGTCTGCAACACGAAGAAAGGATAAATGCTTGAGGTGATGTATACCCCGTTTACCCTGATGTGATTATTATATATTGTACACCTGTATCAAAATATCTCATGGGTCCCATAAATATATACACCTACTATGTACCCACAAAAACGAAAAAAAATGAAATAAAACAAAATCAAAAAGAAACTTCATAGCAGACCTAAAAAAAAAAAAAAAGTATCATGTTTCAGTGCAAAAAACAAACAAAAAAAAAAACAGGCCAGGGAGGGTGACTCACTCCTATAATCCCAGCACTTTGGGAGGCTGAGGCAGGTGGATCACTTGAGGTCAGGCGTTCAAGACCAGCCTAGCCAACATAGTGAAGCTTCATCTCTACCAAAAATACAAAAAAAATAGACGGGTGTGGTGGCGGGCACCTGTAATCCCAGCTACTTGAACCCGGGAGACAGAGGTTGCAGTGAGCCAAGATTGGGACACTGCACTCCAGCATGGGTGACAGAGCGAGAATCTGTCTCAAAAAAAAAAAAAAAGAAAAAGAAAACAACAACAACAACATCTTTAAAGTCAGTAACTTCCGGTTTCCAATGCTGGCTCTGCCAATTTATAAGCTGTAAGAACTTGAACAAGTTTCTGGCTTGCTCAAAGACCAAGTTTTTTAAACCAAGAAAATAGAGCTATCTTCCTCACTGAGTTGTTGAAAGGATTCGCTCATGAACATAAAGAACTAAACTCAGTTCTGAGCACACAGTAAGGCCTAAATAGTACAAATTATTAAGAATAATTAGGAACACCTTTCCCAAAGGACCAGAAAATGATGGCTGGAACTAAAAAGTGAATATAAGATTGTTTTTATAAGGAGAACTGAAGATACATGAGAAAATATAATTTATGTAATTAAACAGTGCTTCTATTCACAATAGCCAAGGTATGATGGACAAGCTAAATGTCCATCAACAAATGAATGGATAAAGAAAATGTGGTACATATGCAAATGGAATATTATTCAGCTATTTAAAAAGAATGAAATTCTATCATTTGCAACATTGATGGAACTGGAGGACATTATGTTAAATGAAATAGGCCAGAAACAGAAAGACAAGGCTGGGCATGGTGGCTCACACCTGTAATCCCAGCACTTTGGGACGCTAAGGCATTGGATCACCTGAAGTCAGGAGTTCGAGACCAGCATGGCCAACATAATGAAACCTCGTCTGTACTAAAAATACAACAATTAGTCGGGCATGGTGGCACACACCTGTAATCCCAGCTACTCAGGAGGCTGAGGAACGAGACTTGCTTGAACTCAGGAGATGGGGGTTGCAGTGAGCCAAGATCGCATCACTGCACTCCAGCCTAGGTGACACAGCAAGACTCTGTTAAAAAAGAAAAGAAAAGAAAAGAAGGAGGGAAGGAAGGAAGGAAGGAAGGGAGGGAGGGAGGGAGGGAGGGAAGGAGGGAGGAAGGGGAAGAGGAAAGGAAGGGAGGAAAGGAAGGAAGGAAAGAAGGAAAGAGAGAGAGAGAGAAAGGAAGGAAGGAAGAATTCAACACGTTCTTATTCATATGTGGGAGCTATAAAGGTGATCTCATGGAGGAAGAGAATAGATGATGGTTACCAGAGGCTGAGGCTGGGAAGGGTAGAGGGGAAGGAGGGACTAAAATGGGTTGGTTAAGGGGTACAAAAACACAATTAGATAGAAGAAATTAGATCTAGTGTTGCACAGCAAAATAGGGTGACTATAGTTAACAACAATTTATTGCATATTTCAAAATAACTAAAAGAGGAGAACTGAAATGTTCCTAACACAAGGGAATGACAAACGTTTAAGGTGATGGAGATCCCAGTTACTGTGATTTGATCATTACGCATTGTATGCTTGCATCAAAATATCACATGAACCCCATAAATATGTACAATTATGATGTATTCATAAAAAATAATTTAAAAAAAATTAAATGGTGCTAATTTAAAGTGAATAATGAGGCTGTAATAGGTCTTCTCCAAAGACAGCCACCCTCAATTCCTCCTCTCCCTGTAGAAGTATGTCACTCTGCCTATCCAGAAGTTGAGTCCACTTCCCTTCCCCTTAATTTGGGTTGGCTCTTTAACTTCAGTGAGAGTGACACTGTGCCAGACCCAGGCCAACCCTTGAAGAAGCATGCTGCTACTGCTTTCCCCATTGAACCTCACTGCAGTGTAAGAAGTCTGACCAACTCAAGGCCTCCATGTTGCTAGGAGGCCCAACCTAGCAAATGACAAGCACACGTGGAGAAGCACCAAAGTCGAGACATTGAGCGAAGTTTTCTTGGAACTTCCAGCCTAGCCAAGATGCCAACTAAATGCAGCAACATGAGTAAACCCAGTTGACATATGAGGCAGGAAAACCACTCAGTTAAGCCCAGTCAACCCACAGACCCACAGAATCATGAGAAAAAAAACAATTAAAGTTTTGGGTAATAGACATGAAACAGAGTCTAAACCTGCCAACTATGAACTGTAATTATCTGTAGCCTAAGACCATCAGAAGCTGCTAATCAAATCATCTTTATTCTCTCTCTCCTTCTGTCTCTCTCTCTTATTTTTTAAGAGACAGTGTATCACTCTACTGTCCAGGCTTGAGAGCAGTGACATAATCATAGCTCAATGCAACCTCCAATTCCTGGGCTTCAGTGAACCTCCCACCTCAGCCTCCAAGCACCACGATACCCGGCTGTTTTTTTATTATTTTTTATAGAAACAGGGTCTCACTATGTTGCCAAGGCTGGTCTCAAACTCCTGGCCTCAAGCTATCCTCCTTTCTCACACTCTCAAAGTGCTGGGATTACAGGCGCCACCCATGTCCAGCCTTGTCTTTCCCCTCTTAACAGATTATTATTGGTGTAGGTGCACTAGGAGCTGTGATTCCAAAAACAATTTTCTTTGTAGGACAACCCCAGATTCACTGGTTAGAGGCTACAAGAAGGGACCCAGCCAGTGAAAACAGCCAGAATGCTTCTGGTAAAAGGGCAATTCTTTCTCACTACAGATGAAAGAATGTTTTATTAAAAATCTTTCTGACAGAGCTCATAGAAAAACAACTTGCAACTTATGTCTCACTTTCAGGAAATCTGAATTTATTACCAAAAGCCACTTGGCTAATATTTTTTCTCTCCCTACACAGAACTGATATTTAAGATACAACCACAGTCAGCCCTTTCAAATTCATAACTTCACTGGGATTTGATTTATGGTTTCAGGACATGTTGGACTCAGGATATTCCTCCCTTTTGTGAATAATAAATTAATTAACTAGCAGCCAATGCCATGATGGCATAAAATGGTTCAAAAACACAAGATTATTCGACAGACATGGAGTCCTTGAAATGCTTGGCCTTCTCTTTTGTAATTCTCTTTCTTTCCTTAGAGTAAAATCATTCTTACTCTTTAAATGACTTGGCTGTCTTATTATCACCTTCAACTAATTATGGAATATAAAAAAGTTTTCCACCCCTTCCCACAAATTTTCTCCCTGACCCATTTCCCACACACTGTGGCAGGAGATGGTATGAAGAATAATTCTGGGCATAAAAGCTTTTCAGGTCTTTAATAACATGAACTCACCTCCATCAATTAGGTGGAAATATTTCTCTGATTTGCTGCCTGTGACCTTGCTCTTAATAGCCTTCAATGAAGCCACCGCGGCTTTCACTCTCTACAATTTCAAGACAGTTATTTACTGGTTTATTCCTTTTACTCCATCATTTATCTTCATAAAATAAAATAAGTTCCAAATTAAGCAAATTTTAAATAGCAGTTTCTAATAGCCAGGCCAGGAAGACTTAACTTTTGATCTCACGATGACCTGTTTTTACATTCAAAGTGGCATTTATTTTCACACACATCTTCCAAAGAGAATGAAAGAAAGGGGCTTGATTTTTAAAATATAGAGACCAAAAATTAAAAAAAAAAACTTAAGAGAAACTTTCATTAAATATCGAGTGGGAGCCAATTATGTGCCAGTCATATCCCGAGTTGTGGGAATAAAAAGATGAAATAATCCCAACCTTTAGGATGTCCATGGGTTAATACAGGAAATGACTCTGAACAACAAGCTACGTCAAACACTGTAGGAAACGAAAATCTGACAATGAAATAAGTGCCGTAAAGGGCTAGGAATGAAAGACTGACTATGCAGAGATGAAGCTGGAGGTGAGGAGGAAGAGAACAGAAGCCTGGAAGCACCACGCACCTTCAGGAAATGTTAAGAATGAGTATGATGATGAGCAGGTCTCAGAAGGTGTGATGGTTAATACTGAGTGTCAACTTAATTGGATTGAAGGATACAAATTATCAATCCTGGGTGTGTCTGTGAGGGTGTTGCCAAAGGAGATTAACATTTGAGTCAATGGGCTGGGAAAGGCAGACTCACCCTTAATCTGGATGGGCACCATCTAATCAGCTGCCAGCGCACCTAGAATATAAGCAGGCAGAAAAATGTGAAGAGAGAGACTGGCCTAGCCTCCCAGCCTACATCTTTCTCCCAAAGCTAGATGCTTCCTCCCCTTGAACACTGGACTCCAAGTTCTTCAGTTTTGGAACTCGGACTGGCTCTCCTTGTTCTTCAGCCTGCAGATGTCCTATTGTGGGACCCTGTGATCGTGTGAGTTAACATGGTACTGGTACCAAAACAGAGATATAGACCAATGGAACAGAACAGAGCCCTCAGAAATAATACCACACATCTACAACTATCTGATCTTTGACAAACCTGACAAAAACAAGAAATGGGGAAAGGATTCCCTATTTAATAAACGGTGCTGGGAAAACTGGCTAGCCATATGTAGAAAGCTGAAACTGGATCCCTTCCTTACACCTTATACAAAAATTAATTCAAGATGGATTAAAGACTTAAAGGTTAGACCTAAAACCATAAAAACCCTACAAGAAAACCTAGGCAATACCATTCAGGACATAGGCATGGGCAAGGACTTCATGTCTAAAACACCAAAAGCAATGGCAACAAAAGCCAAAATTGACAAATGGGATCTAATTAAACTAAAGAGCTTCTGCACAGCAAAAGAAACTACCATCAGAATGAACAGGCAACCTACAGAATGGGAGAAAATTTTTGCAATCTACTCATCTGACAAAGGGCTAATATCCAGAATCTACAAAGAACGCAAACAAATATACAAGAAAAAAACAAACAACCCCATCAAAAAGTGGGCGAAGGATATGAACAGACACTTCTCAAAAGAAGGCATTTATACAGCCAACAGACACATGAAAACATGCTCATCATCACTGGCCATCAGAGAAATGCAAATCAAAACCACAATGAGATATCATCTCACACCAGTTAGAATGGCGATCATTAAAAAGTCAGGAAACAACAGGTGCTGGAGAGGATGTGCAGAAATAGGAACACTTTTACACTGTTGGTGGGACTGTAAACTAGTTCAACCATTGTGGAAGACAGTGTGGCGATTCCTCAGGGATCTAGAACTAGAAATACCATTTGACCCAGCCATCCCATTACTGGGTATATATCCAAAAGATTATAAATCATGCTGCTATAAAGACACATGTACACGTATGTTTATTGTGGCACTATTCACAATAGCAAAGACTTGGAACCAACCCACGTGTCCAACAATGATAGACTGGATTAAGAAAATGTGGCACATATACACCATGGAATACTATGCAGCCATAAAAAATGATGAGTTCATGTCCTTTGTAGGGACATGGATGAAGCTGGAAACCATCATTCTCAGCAAACTATCATAAGGACGAAAAACCAAACACCGCATGTTCTCACTCATAGGTGGGAATTGAACAATGAGAACACTTGGACACAGAATGGGGAACATCACACGCCAGGGCCTGTCGTGGGATTCAGGGAGGAGGGAGGGATAGCATTAGGAGATATACCTAATGTAAATGACAAGTTAATGGGTGCAGCACACCAACATGGCACATGTATACATATGTAACAAACCTGCACATTGTGCACATGTACCCTAGAACTTAAAGCATAATATATATATATAAATAAAAATAAAAACCTTTCTGCTTAAAAAAATACTTAATAAACTCCCATATATATATATTCCATTAGTTCTGTCCCTCTAGAGAATCCTGACTAATACAGAAGGGAAGCTGGATTCACTTTCTAGAAAGTGGTACAACAAGTCACCATGTCCTGGACGGCTCCAAATAATAGAAGTTCATTCTCTCACAGTTCTGGAGGCCATGCGTTCAAAATCAAGGTGTTGACACGATGGGTTCCTTCTGAAGGCTGTGGGGGAGAATGTCTTTTGACTTTCTCCTACCTCGTGGTGGCTCCAGGTGGTCCTCGGCATTCCTTAGTGTGCAGCCGCACCACTCCAATCTCTCCTGCATTGTTACATGGTGTCTCTCCACGTGTATCTTCATGTGGTCTTCTTACAAGGACATTCATTGTGGGGATTAGGGCGTTAAGGCCCACCCTAACCCAATAGGACCTCATCCTAACTAATGACATCTGCAGCCACATAAGGTGACATTTGGAGGTGCCAGGTGGAGATGAATGAATGTTGGGGGGACACTATTCAACCCAGGACAGAGGCCATGCTGAGTCTGAATGCAGTGAGGCTAGTGTTCCCAAGTGCCAACTGTCACAAAGCACACTTCACAATTTTTGTCATTTCTATAAGCAACCCACTCTTCTATTTTGCTTCATTGTATTTTAAATTTTTATTAGGTCAGCTTTCTCCCTCTTCTTTTTTTTTTTTTTTTTTTACTTATATACATTTAAGAGGAAGCATCATATCACTACTACAAATGGAAAATACTGCTTGCCATTCTATAAAAAAGCGGTCCCCTACCTTTTTGGCACTAGGGATTGGTTTCATGGAAGACAATTTTCTCATCATCTGTGGGAGGACAGGGATGATTTCAGAATTAAACTATTCCACCTCTCAGAGGCTGCAGTGAGCCGAGACCCTGCCATTGCACTCCAGCCTGGGCAACAGAGCGAGACTACATCTTAAGAAAAAAAAAAAAAAATTCCACCTCAGATCATCAGGCACATCAGACATTACATTCTCATAAGAAGCACGCAACCTAGACCTCTTGCATGCACAGTTCACAATAGGGTTGTTCATGTTCCTTTGAGAGTCTAATGCCTCTGCTGATCTCACAGGAGGTGAAGCTCAGGTGGTAATGCTCGCTTGCCCACCAGTGAACTCTGGCTGTGGGGTCTGGTTCCTAACAAGCCACAGACTGGTACAAGTCAGTGGCCCAGGAGTTGAGGTCCCTTGCTCTAAGGTATCCATAAAATGTTTATCAAATTTTTAATGAAAATAGAATTTTAATAATGAAATACACAGCATAATAAATCTGACTGAATTATAAAAATGCATACCCCAAAATAGATTCCTCAGTGATGAGACTGCAACTGTTGAGAATCAGTTAATATAATAAGAGATTTAGGCTGGGTATAGTGGCTCACACCTGTAATCCTAACACTTTGGGAGGTCAAGGTGGGAGGATCACTTGAGGCCAGGAGTTCAAGATCATCCTGGGCAACATAGTGAGCCCCATCTGTACCAAAAAAAAAAAAAGACCAGGTGTGGTGGCTCACACATGTAATCCCAGCACTTTGGGAGGCCGAGGCAGGTGGATCACATGAGGCCAGGAGTTCGAGACCAGCCTGGCCAACTGGTGAAATCCCATCTCTATTAAAAATACAAAAGGTTAATCTCTTTGTTTTCCTTTTTTGTATTTCTGCATAATCTCACTTATACATGGAATCTAAAAAAGATGAACTCAGGCCAGGCACGGTGGCTGAAGCATGGAATCACAGCACTTTGGGAGGCTAAGGCAGGTGGATTGATTGAGCCCAGGAGTTCCAGATGAGCCTGGGGAAAGTGGCAAAATTCTGTCTCTACAAAAAATACAAAAATTAGCTTGGTGTGAAGAAGCCTTCTGACCAAAGCACCAGAAACTTGTTCTACCTAGATGTTTCAAGTATTTGGTAATATGTGAAAAATAATGAATGAAAGATCCTTATATACTCACCCCTGGCACACAATTTGAGAAAATCCTTGCAAGGACCTTCTAGCAAGTTCCAGTGTCTCCTCATAATGTTCACAATTGTTGATGAGTTCTTCAGATGGGTTCTTTTTTTTTTTTTTTTTTTTTTTTTTTTTTTTTGAGCCAAGTCTTGCTCTGTTGTCCAGGCTGGAGTGCAGTAGCATGATTTCATCTCGCTGCAAACTTCACCTCCTGGGTTCAAGCAATTCTCCTGTCTCAGCCTCCTGAGTAGCTGGGACTACAGGCTCATGCCACCATGCCTGGCTAATTTCTGTATTTTTAGTAGAGATGGGGTTTCACCATGTTGGCCAGGCTGGTCTCAAACTCCTGACCTTGGGTGATCCGCCCACCTCAGCCTCCCAAAGTGCTGGGATTATGAGCATGAGCCACCACGCACCAGACCTCAGATGGGTTCTTTAGATGGATTAATAACCAGGTCTTTCAGAAAAGGCCTTCCATATTGTTGAACAGATGAATGGGGTTAAAGGGTCCAGCTTATAATGATAACTGCTACCATTACTCAGCACTACTATATCTAGGCATTGCATAAAGCCACCAGTATGCATTTTCTCATTTAACTTTCACAACACCTTCAAAGTAGCTACTATTATCTGCTGGGGAAACTGAGGCTCAGAGAGATGGTGAGATTTGGCTGAAGCTTATATTACCCTTAAAGAGAAAAGTGACAACTCCAACCTAGGTGGGAGCTTCTAGCACCTATGATCTCATGCGAACATGAACCAGAATTGCGTGCTACATCTCCATCTCACTTTTCCTATAACACCTTGTCTCCAGATCCCAGAACTGGCCTCAGGCACCAGGCCAGGGCTGCTTCTGCCTGGGGAATCCATGTGGCTGGGCTGCAGGAAAATCCATGGTGGGATGAGGAGCCAGTTGGGGGCTGGAAAGCAGAGGGGAAGGGTGGGTCTCTGAGAGTGAAAGAAGCGAATGCCTAAATTAGGGCCATCAGCCGGCACGGTGGCTCACACCTGTAATCTCAGCACTTTGGGAGGCTGAGGCAGGCAGACCACCTGAGGTCAGGAGTTTGAGACCAGCTTGGCCAACATGGTGAAACCCTGTTTCTCCTAAAAATACAAAAATTAGCTGAGCGTGGTGGCGTGCAGCATAAGAATTGCTTGAACCCTGGAGGCGGAGGTTGCAGTGAGCCGAGATCGCGCCACTGCACTCTAGCCTGAGCAACAGAGAGAGATTCCATCTCAAAAATAAATACATACATAATAAAAATAAAAAACACCTGTCATTTCTCAGGGATTTCTGAAGCATTCTGCTTTGTGCCTGTGAAAAGTCTGGGAGTGAGATGTTATTTTCCCTTCTAGGTTTTATCCTCTGCAGCTAAAGACATCTAGAACATTTGAACTTTGTATTTTTATGAGGCTTCTTTCAAAGCATGTTGACAGTGCAGCTCATGGTCTAGTTACAAATTGAGAATTTGTGGTACTTTCTAGAAACACATAATTGTGAGATCAACCAAAACCTGGAAGAAAAGTTCCAGGATAAACATAGAGCGACAGTTCCTATAAACAATTCAGGAAGCATCTTTTTCTGGGCAGTTTCCTTCATAAATGCATAAAATCAATGCATTTACTTGTAAATCATTATTTACAAGTAGAAGTTACATACAAATGCAAGGTCTCATACTCAAGGAGTTTACAGACTCCTCTTATGTACACTCACATACACACACACACACACACACACACACACACACACACACACACAGCCTCTTTCTGCAAATGCCTGGGACTCTGTCTAAGAGCTTTCTCTGGCCACAAGACCTGAAGTCCTTAGGAAAGTAATTCCTTGGTGAGCAGCCCTTGACCAATGACCAGTGAAATACAGTAGAGAGAAAGCCCAGCTTCCTTGTTCCTCAGGCAGGACAACTCTGGGACATATGCTGTAGAGTTCCTCCAAGGTCTTCAGTAGAACTGAGCCCCAGTTGCCCTCAATAGTCACCTTCTTTTTAATGCACCTTGACTGGCCTTTTTCCCTCCCCTGTCTCACTTCCCCATACCCTTCCTGGAGTCACTTTCCAAATACCTGTGATACAGGAGAGTTCCCTGACTCCCCTCACAGGATGTGCAATAGGGGTGTGGCTCATCTTTTTGGGCACTGCTGCTCAAACCTCTTATGGGAGGGGGAACATGCAGATAGGCAGGTGCAGGAGCCAGGGCGCTGGACTCTGGCCCCATGGCAGCATCTAGGAGTGGGAGCCTGTGACTCCCAAAGCCCAAATGGGAGTGTGCTACAGTGCGCTCTTTTAGCCTTGCCATCTGTGGATGGCTTAAGTGTTAACCAGCTCAGTGGACCCTCTACATTTTTGTAAGCGCACAGGGCCACTATGACAGCACAGGGCCAGTATGACAGCTTTCTGTATCTCAAGCTCTCGTCCAGCATCCTGGAAGAATCGGGTCACACACGGACTTGAAAGATGAATGCAGGGGTTTTATTCAGTGGTGGAGGTGGCTCTCAGTGGGATGGATGGGGAGCTAGAAGGGGGATGGAGTGGGAAGATGATCTTCCCCTGGAGTCTGGTTGTCCAGCAGCCTATCTCCTCTGATCAACCCCAGCCAAATTCCTCTCGACATTCAGACTCCTATTCTCTTTTCTCTGCTGTGCCGTCTGCTCTTCCATTTGTCTGATCATCTCCTTGTCTGCTTCTGGAGCCTGGGGTCTGGGGTTTATGTGGGTACAGCCTAGGGGGTGTGGTGGGCCAAAAGGCAGATTTTGGGTGCAAAAACAGGAATGCCTTTCCTCATTTAAGGCCATGGGTATCCAGGCTTGAGGGTGGGCCTTTGCCAAGGAACTGCCCTCTTCTACCCAGTATTTCCCTATCTTCTGTCTGTATTACCTACACTCAAAGTTGGGGACTATTGAGAAAATAAGGTGGGTTTAAAAGAACTGTCACCAGGTTAGTGATGGCAGCAAATTACTAAATATGATTGCAAAATCTCATTAACCAGATACTCTGTTGCTGGACAGTGCTAATAACTTTTGGCTTCTTTCACTATCATCTATACAAAAGAGAAGAAACTCTGGTGGGCCGGAGAAAATAGCCTTCACTTTCATGTATAACACAGAGGAAATTCTCAGTCAAGGCTCAATCAAGAAAATAGAAGTCCATGCCTGGAATTTTAATGCAGGATATTTTATATAGGGAAGTACTTATAAAGGGGCTGGAAAAACAAATCGTCAAAGAAAAGAATGAGACAATGGAGACATTTGCAACAGAAAGAAACCACTCTCCGGTTTTTTAGTAAGTTAAATGCAGAGTTGCCATAGGATCCAGCAATTCTCCTAGGTATGGGTATCCAAGAGAATTGAAAACATATGTCTATACAAAAACTTATACATGAATGTTTATAGCAGCATTATTCATAATAGCCCAAAAAACCCAGAAACAATGCAAATGTCCATCAACTGATGAATGGCCAGATAAGGAAAATGTGGTATGTCCATACAATGGAATATTACTAAGCCATAAAAATGAAGTACTGGCCGGGGATGGTGGCTCATGCCTGTAATCCCAGCATTTTGGGAGGCCAAGGTGGGCAGATTACCTGGGGTCGGGAGTTCGAGACCAGTCTGGCCAACATGATGAAACTTCATCTCTACTAAAAATACAAAAATTAGCCAGGCATGGTGGTAGGTGCCTGTAGTCTCAGCTACTTGGGAGGCTGAGGCAGGAGAATCATTTGAACCCAGGAGGTGGAGGTTGAAGTGAGGCGAGATCATGCCATCGCACTCCAGCCTGGGTGACAGAGCAATACTCTGTTTCACAAAAAAAAAAAAAAAAAGTACTGATACATACCACAACACAGATGAGCCTTGAAGACAGTACACTAAGTGAAAGAAGCTGGTCATGAAAGGCCACATGTTGTACGATTCCACAGATAAAATGTGCAGAATAAGCAAATCCATAGACAGAAAGTAGAAGAATGGTTGCCAGGGGCTTTGAGGAGAGGAGAATGAGGAGAGACTGAGAATGAGTATGGGGTGTTTTTCTGAGGGGGATGATGAAAATGCTCCAGAATTAGATAGTGATGATGGTTTCACAAGCCTGTGAATACATTAAAACTCACTGGACTGTACATTTTAAAAGGGTGAATTTTTTAGAATCTAAATTCTATCTCAAAAGGAAGGGAGGGAGGGAGGGAGAAAGAAAAGAAGGAAAGGGCCGGGCACGGTGCCTCACGCCTGTAATCCCAACACTAGGAGGCTGAGGTGGGTGGATCACATGAGGTCAGGAGTTTGAGACCAGCCTGGCCAACAGGGTGAAATGCCATTTCCACTAAAAATACAAAAATTAGCCAGGCATGGTGGCACGTGCCTGTAATCCCAGCTACTTGGGAGGCTGAGGCAGGAGAATCTCTTGAGCCTTGGAAGCGGAGGTTGCAGTGAGCTGAGATCACACGCCACTGCTTTCCAAGCTGAGCAACAGCGACAGAATGAGACTCTGTCTCAAAAAAAAAAAAAAAAAAGAAAAAGAAAAGAAAAGAAGGAAGGAGAAAAAGGAGCCACAATCATTGATCACCTCTTGGGAAAGAGAGACAAAGAGATGAGGTTTTACCAGAACTTAAGAGCCAGGCCCCCTAGCAGAAACTGGAGCCACTACAGAAGGAGCATGTGGTGGGAGCTGGCCCCAGGGAGGGGACACAGTCACAGCCAGGCACTCATTAATAAGCAGAACCCCCTGATTTTTCCCTTCCTCCCGCCCACAATTCTGTTGGTATTGGCCAATCCTGGCCACAAACCAGTTAGCAGGGGAATCTGAGAAATGTGGTTTGCAGGTGTTGGCCCTATGATACAGAGAAGAGTAGGGAAGGGCAGTGTATTTGTCTGCAAACAAACAGGCAGACACCTTGCAGAGACCCCTATCACTTCAAACATGAAACTCTTCCTTGTTGAGATTATGAATACAACCTAGGCAACAGGATGGGTAGTGTCACTTGTGAAAACTCAACACAAGCCCTCAATGAATGCTTTTTTGGAGATAACAGAGGAATAAGAGGAGGAAGGGAATAATTATTTCAGAAGTAGTTACAACATGAAAATGGGAGCACAAGCCTTCCTTTAACCCAAATGGATACTCTCATTGGGTCTTACATTTCACAAATATCTTTGAGCACCCTAGGGATACAGTGAAAGTGACACTGTCCTTCCCTCAAGGAGATTATTAAGGAACTCTCAGTATATGGAAGGAAAAAAATATTAACCAGGCCTGGTTAACATAAATCAAAAATTCAGGAATCATAACAGAATGGGAAGTGTTTATTTACATGTACATTTGAATAGTGCCTCTCTACCAAATACCTCAAAGAGCTTAAAACTGGAAGGACATCCTTTGGAAGTGTGTCAAGGAATCCTCCATTCTCACTGAATTTCAATCTGTCTAAACATCATTACCTCTGGGCACGCTGCAGTTTTCTTAAACCATATTCCCACACACCTATCCCCTGCTAACATAATTGCTGCTCATTTTGGTATACTGCAAGGAATAACCTACTTAAACGCAGAACAGAACTTGTAGCTTAAACTTCCCAATGAGAACAACTGGGGAGAAAACAAAGTCAGACTGAGACTGATCATAGTTTCTGTAAACCCTTCAGGACATTTAACATTCCCAGGCAGATATGGCTCCAAACCAACTCTTGACATTCAAATGGCCAGTTATTATTCTGACATCTGTGAGCTGTTGCACCTTGCTGTTAATTTCATCCCTAGAAATAGTGTTGGAGAAGAATCGACTCTTATAGACATTAATTTGAACTGAGGCTAGATTCCTGCTGACTATACGAATACCTTTACTCTAGGGTATATGTCATACCTTGAAGAAATCCTAAAACAGAATTATTAAAGATGTCTTTCTTTAAAAAAAAGTCAGAAGGTTCTTTTTCCTTTATATAAGCAAGTGTATCACAAAAGCAAATTTCCTTTTTTTGCTTAAGGCCAAAACAATGTCAAATAAAATAAAGCAAAAGATAAACACATACCTCTGAGGCCATTCTTGTCTCATTTCCACCTTTCCTCTTGGATAATTCTCAATATTAACACAGCGTGGGAGGGTGAGGTGACCAGAATTGGGAAAGGGCAAGAGGGAGAATTTAGCAAAAGAGCAAATGCAACTACTACTGCATTGCAAGCTTATGCAAATATTTCCAAAGATAAAATATTTCAAAGCAAATCCGTAAATAATAAAGAACCGAGTCACCATTATAGTAAAGTCACACTTTTCAATAGTTTACTAAAACATACCATTTATTTTGAGCTCTAGCCATACATCAAAGCACAGCATAAAAACTAAACGTTTTGCTTCTCAAAATGTATTTATGAAAAGTAGAGCTGTATCAAGCAATAAACATAGCCAGTTTTGTTCTTGGATCTTGCCAGCTGTGTACACCTCAAGTAGAAGCTCATTTGGCTGCAAGACTTTGAAGTGGTTTTCCTTCTTTCCAGAGCTCCAAAGGAAAACTATCAACAATTGATGATATATGGGTACGAATCAAAATTGCTGATCAACATCTTAAAACACAGAAAAGCACTACCAAACATAAAATTTACTCCAAAAGTGACTTTAAATTCTTCCTTTAATTCATTTCATGAAGACAATTCCCAATTACCAGCTTGTTTTGTTTTCATGTTCTTACTGAAATAATTAACCAGAATAAATTAAAAATTATAGAAGTTGTGGTATTCCTTATCTCTTGATTACTTATACTGTGGTACAGCCCAGCTGGGAGTTTTAAACTAAAATACTTAATCATCTCATTCACACGGAAGAATATGTAAAACAGAAATATAGAAAGAATGGTCCACTCTTCCGAGAGTGTTTTGTGCCTACTTAATATGGAAAGAAAATCATGGGAATACTCTGGGCAGATGAAGAATCATAAAGTGGAAGATGGGCATGTTGGCTGGAGTGTTTGTGAAATTACTAAACGTTGAAGATACCTGGTATTCATATGTTCATACAAATGCACAACAGCAAATCATTTTGTATAATCTTTTCCTTTAATGTGACAATAAAAACTGACTATGAAACACCACACTCAGGTTACCACTGATTCTAAAATAAAGATGTGGATTATATCTGTGCACCATATCTGAGATTCTCAGATGTTACTGTTAGCACTTTCTATTGGTCCCACACAATTTAGTGACAAATAATACAATGTCTTAGGTTATTGTTTGGTATATTGATCCCATCTTGATAACTAGATTAAATATTCCTCTATACTCTCAAATTTCCTTACACATATAACAGGTACTCAAATAAATACTTCCTGACAGATAGGCATGTCTGTCTAAATTAGAGGTTTCTATCCTATAAATATACTGGCTGATATCCAATTCTCAGTTTCATTTTGTTGTTTTAATAGCCAAAAGTTTATGTCTACATATCAGGAACACTCATATCAAAATTATGCATCAATATCATTTTATTTACATTTCCCAGATACCCAAGCACAATTTAAATTTTTGTCTTACTCTAGAAAAAAAAATAACCTGTTGTGTAAATGAATAAACAGTTCAGGCAATTACTAAGGGGAGGGTTCTTTCCTTTTTATTTTGTTCCTCACTTTATTTTGATTTTTATATATGAAATATATGTGTAAAATATTTTTCTCTGTGTGCTAGCTTTGGATGAATTCTTATTTTTTTCATTTTTTTATTTCAACATTTATTTTAGATTCAGGGGGCCATGCACAGATTTGTTACATGGGCATATTGCATGATGCTGAGGTTTGGGGTACATTAGGAGTCATCAATCTCTTCCTTTAGGGTTTGTGTTTCATGTTTAAGAAATCTTTCCCTACCTTGGGGTCATGAAAATCACCTCCTATGTTATTTTCTGAAAGTCTTATTCTTTAAAAACTATAGCTTAAAGACTCATTAAGAACTGTAATGCACCTGATATTGATTTCTGCATATAGTATAAGATAAAGGTACAATTCCAATAGACTTACAATACAGAGTTAACAAGTTAAAATACTAATAAAATGAATACTAATAAAATGCTGCTCTTCTTTCTATTCAGATTAAGAAATAGAGCATGGCCACTTAGGGACTCCTGTGTCTCCACCATCAAATCACCTACTCTCCCTCAGAAGGTAACATCTATCCTAACTCTTGTTTTGGTTATTGTTTTACCACCTGTGTGTCTATACCCAGACAGCATATTGTTCCATATGGCTACTTTGAGTCTTTATAGAAATAAACACATACTGTATGCATTCTTAGAGTGAAGTGCTTCTTGCAATGCAAGTCTGAAAATTATATTATGAGTCCATGCTAAATAAGTGTAGAAATTGAGGGTGTTTTGAAATTTTTATGCCTATTTGATAGTCATGTTATGTTGCTTGTATACTTTTTGGAATTTCACTTTTCTTATAATTTATTTTTATTGTATTTAACAAAAGCACTAGTCTACAACAAATTTAAAATTCAAAAACTAACTGGATTTTCACTGCAGTTAGTGTGAGAAGCCATAGATTTGTTTAGACTTCTCAGACTCCCAAAGTGCCTAGCCAGAAAGTGGCAGCACCTGGGGATAGCCGTACTCTCAGCTCAGACCCCTGTCCCAGCCCCTCCTCACCAGGCATCACCTTGCTCCATTAGGAGCCTCAAGTGCGTACATGTGATCACCCAAGACTACAAATCCAAGCTCCATTCACCCCCAACCACACACAATTAGACACAAACAGCTACCCCTTAAGGCACGATAGCATGGACCACCCCTGAAAGGAGGAACTCAGGGTGCTTTGCATGGGGAATGGTCATGGTTCAAGGCTACCCAGGCCACAACAGAGGGCAGGCAGGACAGATTCCATGTAGCCACACCCCTTTGGCCATGCAGACACCTTGTCCCATCATTAGGAGCACAGTCAGAAGAGGCCGAGGGGAGGGCCCTTTAATGCTCAGGGCTCAGCGCAGAGGAACCCTCTTGCCCATTTCAGGTAGGAGATGGGACTTGACTCTGGAGGTGGGGCTCAGACACTGGACCAGATTTAGGACTAGGTAAAACAGGGTAGAGGTGAAAGCACCTCTCCATAAGACAGGCCCACTGGTGTGCCTTGTCAATTTACCATTGCCATGGCAACACTTGGAAGTGACTGCCCCTTTCTGTAGCAATGAACCAATGACATGGAAGTTACCAACCTTTTCTAGAAATGTCTGCAAAATCCACCATTAATTTGCATGTAATTAAAAGTGGGTATAAATATGACTGCAGAACTGCCCCTGAGCTGCTACTCTGGGCAAACTGCCTATGGGGTAGCCCTGCTCCGCAAGGAGCAGTACCTCTGCTGTCACTGCTATACACACTGTGGCTTCAATAAAAGTTGCTGTCTAACACCACCGGCTTGCTCTTGAATTCTTTCCTGGGGGAAGCCATGAACCCTCCTAGGCTAAGCCCCAGTTTTGGGGCTTGCCTGCCCTGCATCACAGTCAAAGGGCAGTCATGGCTGGAGGTACTGAAAGAAGCTGGAAGCAGGTGCCAACTGTGGCAAGAGGAAGAAAACAGAAAGGAAATACTTCACCCCCTCCTCCTCCTGAGCCTCCCAGCAGGTCCCCATCTGCAGAAACAAACTAGAAACCAGTTGCTCAGAAGTCTGGGAAATGTGGTTTGTGAAATGTCAGCTCCAGCATCACATAGGGCTTCTCTAAAGTTTCTGGATACACGTTCTTTGACAGATTCTGCATTAAAATACCTTCTCCAAGTTTATAGATCTTTGTGTCTGTGGCTGTTGTTCTTTTTCTCTGTGTGCTAGCTTTGGATGAATTCTTATTTTTTTTAATTTTTTTATTTCAACATTTATTTTAGATTCAGGGGGCCATGCACAGATTTGTTACATGGGTATATTGCATGATGCTGAGGTTTGGGGTACATAAGCAGTCATCAATCTCTTCCTTTATGCTTAGGGTTTGTGTTTCATGTTTAAGAAATCCTTCCCTACCTCGGGGTCATGAAAATAATCTCCTATGTTATTTTCTGAAAGTCTTATTCTTTAAAAACTATAGCTTAAAGACTCATTAAGAACTGTAATGCACCTGATATTGATTTCTCCATATAGTATAAGATAAAGGTACAATTCCAATTTATTTTCATATCCATACTCCAATGTCCCAGCACCATTTATCCTGCCCTCCACTAATCTGCAATATCACATCTGTCATGTATCAAAGGCCCTCATATGTGTGGATCTCTAACTGGGCTACCTCTGCTCTCCTGCTGCTCTATGCCTATAACACCACCAAAGCATCTCAATTACTATAGCTTTGAAATCTTGATCTTGGTAGGCAACTTCCTGAATTCTGTCTTTTTCATGAAGAATACTGGTGTTTTCGGCCCCTTGCATTGCCATATATACTTTATAAGTAGCTTATCAAATTTCACAAAAGAAAAATAAATCCTGTATGAATTCTAAACAGAATTACATTGAATCTAAATCAATTATAGAAGAATCGACATCTTTACCATATTGAGTCTTCTGATCCAGAAGCAGGGCTTACTTATCTATTTAGTTAGATCTGCTTTAATATCTCTCAATAAAATTTTACACTTTTTCCATAAAGGTCTTGCATATGTTTTGTTACATTTCTTCCTCAGTGTTTCATATCTTAAGTTATTACAAGCAGCTTTTATTCATTTTCTAAATGTTTGTTGCTGGCATGTAGAAATGCAATTGATTTTTGTACATTTTTTTTTAATTTAACTACCTTTCTAAACTCACTTATTAATTCTAATAAATTATGCACAGATTCCTTTGTGTTTTGTACATAATCCTATCACTTGTAAATAGTAACAGGTTTCTTTCCTCCCATCCATTCCTGATACCGTTTATTCCTTGCTTTTCTTTGCTATACTTGAGAACCTTCAATAGAGCCTCCAACCTCAGCCTCCCGAGTAGCTGGGACTACAGGCACATGCCACCACACCTGGCTAATTTTTTGTAGAAATGGGTTTCCGCCATATTGCTCAGGCTGGTCTCAAACTCCTGAGCTCAAGCCATCCACCTGCCTCTCCCACAGTGCTGGGATTACAGGCGTGAGCCACCATACCCGGCCTTAATAGATTGTTGAATAAAGTAACTATAGGGACATTCTTGTCTTTCTTTTTTTTTATTATTACACTTTAAGTTTTAGGGTACATGTGCACATTGTGCAGGTTAGTTACATATGTATACATGTGCCATGCTGGTGTGCTGCACCCACTAACTCGTCATCTAGCATTAGGTATATCTCCCGATGCTATCCCTCCCCTCTCCCCCCACCCCACAACAGTCCCCAGAGTGTGATATTCCCCTTCCTGTGTCCATGTGATCTCATTGTTCAGTTCCCACCTATGAGTGAGAATATGCGGTGTTTGGTTTTTTGTTCTTGCGATAGTTTACTGAGAATGATGATTTCCAATATCATCCATGTCCCTACAAAGGACATGAACTCATCATTTTTTATGGCTGCATAGTATTCCATGGTGTATATGTGCCACATTTTCTTAATCCAGTCTATCATTGTTGGACATTTGGGTTGGTTCCAAGTCTTTGCTATTGTGAATACTGCCGCAATAAACATACGTGTGCATGTGACATTCTTGTCTTTCGCTAATCTCAAATATAAGGTCAAAGTTTTACTAGAAGTATGAAAGTACTTCTTTTTTTAGAAACCCTTAACCAGTTTAAGGAATTTCCCTTCTTGTATCAGTTTGCTAAGAGTATTTCCTAATTGTATTGAGTTTCATTCAATGCTTTGCATCTATTAAGGTAATCATATGATTTTTATCTTTAATATACTAATGTGGTAAATAACAATTGATTTTCTAAAGTAGAACCAACCTTATATTCCTGTGACAAGAACAGTTTGCTCATGATTCTTTACCCTTTATATATATATTACTCTTTTGGGTTTGCTAATATTTTGCACAGGATTTTCCCATGTATTTCATTATAATATTGGTCTACAATTCTTTCTTCTATTATCTGTTTCAGGTTTTGGTATCAAAGACATGCTAATTTGTATTCTATGCTCTGGAATATAGTGAATTTTGAATTTTTTTCTTGAATGATTGATTTTGCTGGGATTGGAGGGGGTTTGTGGAAATATTTTTGACTATGGAGTAATTGTTTTAATGATTTTGTTATTGCTTGGGTTTTCTATTTGTTCTTGAGTCAATTTGGGTCCACTGTATTTTTCTAAGATTTTGTCCATTTCTTAACAACTTTCAAAGTGATATGGTTTGGCTCTGTGTCCCCACCCAAATCTCACCTTCGACTGGAATCCTCATAATCTCCATGTCAACAGCAGGACCAGGTGGAGGTATTGAGATCATGGGGGCAGTTTCCCCCATGCTGTTCTCATGGCAGTGAGTGAGTCTCATGAGATCTGATGGTTTTATAAGCATTGTCTGGCATTTCCCCTGCTTGCAATCATTCTCCTGCCAACCTGTGAAGAGGTGCCTTAAGCCATGATTGTAAGTTTCCTGAAGTTTCCCCAGCCATGCAGAACTGTGAGTCAATTAAATCTCTTTACTTTATAAATTACTCAGTCTTGGGTATTTCTTCATAGCAGCATAAGAATGGGGACTAATACACAAAGTTACAGCTTGAAATTTATCATTATAATCTTTTGTCATTGTAATATCCAGAACACCAATAATTAAGGTTTTTTCAGTCATGATAATGATTACTATTCTTTGATCAATATCACTAGGGGGTTGTCAATTATATTAGTCTTTTCAAATAACTTACTTAGCTTTGTAGATTATCTTTATTAAAAGCTTAATTTCTATTGTATTGATTTCTGTTTTTACACTTATTACTTTCTTCCTTCTACTTTCTTTGCATTTAATTAAGGAGGAAGCTTGTTGCATTAATTTTTATCCTTCCTTCTTTTCTGTTGTAGCTTTCAATGTCATAAAATTCCCTCTAAGTTCTGCTTTAGCTGTCTTCTACCAGATTTGACATTTAATATTTTTATTATAAATCAGTTCTAAGTATTTTCTAATTCTCATTGTAATTCATTTATTGAATCTTTAACTGTTATTTTTTCATTTCCTAACACAAGCTTTTTCTGATTTTTCCAGTTTCATTTTAGTTGTTGATTTCTAAATTACATTATATACTTAGTTATTATACATTATACATTTAGTTTCATTACATTTAGTTATTGATTTCTATAATTACATTATAACACCCAAGCATATTTTCCTTACTTGTATCTACATATTTGCATATATTCATCTGCCCCCCCCATCCTGCCCACATCTACCTCCCTTTCCGCATCATTTTATTTCATGTTAAGTGGCTAAATTTACAATTTAGTCTTTATGTTACAGAATATCCAGGAGGAATTGTTACTGAATCAGAAGAAAAATTAACAACATTCTGAGATGGATCCAGTAATAGGATCACATACTTCCATTTTAGGGAGAAAGCGGCTGCATCTTTGTATAAAAGATATTTGCACACTGTAAGTCAGAAGCATAATGTTATTTTTATTGTTGTTTTAAATATAAGAGTGTATATATGGGTGCTGAATAGCCAAAGGAGTGGATTGTGCTGAACAGTGTCTACTGTCCTGCATTTGCTCTTCAGCCATGTTCTTTCTAATGCCAGGACTGGAAGCCTGCAATTACACTTCCCAGACTCCCTTTCCAGCTGTCCTCCTGTTGGGTCTGCCAGTGAGAGGCACTAATAAGAGACTGGAAGCCAGAGGAAGGAAGAAGCTACTTTCTCCTGGCTGAAACTACTTTCTCCTGGCCTCTACCAGTGCTTCTGGCTGTGACTCTGGCAGTGATGGCAGTAGCAGCAAAGGCATGACAGTGGCATCCCAAAAGCACATAAATCATCGATTTTGTATAACCATATATTCTATTTTGTTTTTCCAGGTCTTTCAACACCTTTGCAACACATTTCCTGCATCCTGTTTGAAATACCCAAAATGGTTCTTATTAAACTTTGATAAATTTATGCGAGGTAATTTTAGTTATTTTTTATTATGGATTACATTGAGATCAGAGAATGTAGACTATATAATTTAAATGCCTTCAAATATTTTGTGACTTCCTTCAAGATCCAGAATATGGTCAATTTGTATAAATATTCCATATGTATTTGAAAATATATGTATTCTGGAGTTGTTGGGTAGAGTGTTTTACATATGTCTATTAGGTTAAGTTTAATTGTGTCGATCAAATTTTCCATACCCTTACAGAATTTTTGTCTAATTGAACTACCAATTTCTGAGAGAGATTATTGTGGTTTTATCTACTTTTCCTTATAGTTCTCCAATTTTTGCTCTATATATTTTGAGACTTTGTTACTAGGTCAATAAAAATTGTAATTATTGTATTTTCCTGGTGAATAAGACACTTTATAGTTACAAAATGATCCTCTTTATCTTCAGTAATATTAGTTGTCTTAAAATGTATTTCATCTTATATTAATATAACTACACAATCTTCCCTTCGTTTCAAATTTTCCTGGTATACCATTTCCCATGCTTTTATTTTCAGTCTATTTGCTTATGTTTCACATGTCTTTCTTATCAATAACACATTGTTGGATTTTGCTTGTTCTTTTTTAACTCAATCTGATAACTTTTGTCCTCAAATTTAGACCATTTACACTTAATGTAATTACAGACATATTTGTATTTATATCTACCATCTTATTTCAGGTTTTCTATTTATGTAGTCTTTTCTCCCTTCCCCTCCCCATTTTTTTGTATTCTTTTGGGTTTTTGTTTGTTGTCTTTCCATTTTTCTCCTCTACTAATTTAAAAATTATATATTTTGTTTTTATTCTTTAAGAGGTGTACAAAAACTTATCCAAGTCAAAAGCTCGCCAATATATTTACCTCCCAAAAACACCACAAGAGCATTAGAACACTTGCCTTTTAGTCATCTACTCCTAACTTATATATACTTAGATTAGGTTACAGTTTCTTCACATTTAGACAGTATGAATTCAGGCTAGAAAACCCTATGAGTATTGACTTGTGAGTCCACATAGACTACTCTGATCAAAGCACTTGACCTTCCAACTACCCTCAATAATCTTCACTTCTCACAGTGCTCCATCTTCTGTCTCCCTGACTCTTTGTATATGTTCATCCTTTGCCTGGGACACACTTCCTTATTTGTCATCTGGCTCCTTGGTCTTACATATCACCTTTTCTAAGATGACTTCCTTGACCACCCCCACCCCATCTAATTCCATGTTATTTTCCTTCCTTAAATATTCTCATCTTGTAATTCTTCCCATTATAGCGTCTATCACACTATTTTGTAATTGCCTTTTTTCTTATCTACATAGGTTCTTTGAAAATAGGAACTATGTCTGCTCTTTCACTTGTGAATCCCCAGTTCTTAGCACAATGCCTGATGCTATTAATATTTGTTAAACAAATAGAGTCCCTTACTTGAAATTCTTCACTGGTTTTCCATTGCCTTCTTACAAAACCTCACAGTGCCTGGCAATTACGAAAGTCCCATTTAAGCTTTTATGTTTAGTTGACAGGATACTACTTGTATTGTAGAAGCTGGTCTGGCCACTGATCAATGCAGATACCCATATAACTGCCTGGTAATGTATCTCAAGAAAAAAACTGTGATTATACTAAGGTGGTCCCATGGCATCCAATGTGAATTATCAGAAGGTGGTCAGAACTGAAAGCAGGCTTAGACACTGCCATTTGTCACCTCTAAAGTCAAATGACAAACCAAAGGACCTAGTATACCATGCCTTTTAAATGTAGCCAGACCGTGCTAAGCTATGAGGATGCAAAGGCATAAGAATGACATAATGAACTTTGGGGACTCAGGTAAGGGAAGGTTGAGATGGGGGTGAGGGATAAAACTCTACATATTGGGTACAGTGTACACTGCTTGGGCAACAGGTGCAGTAAAATCTCAGAAATACCGCTAAAGAATGTATCCATGTAACAAAAAGCCACCTGTACCCCCAAAAAATATTGAAATAGAAATAAAAATTAAAAATAAATGTAGCTAGACCAACATTATCTTGTACCTGAAAGGGAAAGAAAAATCCACTTGTGTGCTTAAGTAATACCATTCTTACTAATGAACGGACATTGTAATTTGAGACTGCTATGACACAGGATTGTCAGTTCTAGAGCAGAGGGCATTTAATATTTTTACAGCTGCTTAAGAGTACTTCTATTAAAAAGACTGCTCAATATAGGCTTCCTGAACAAGAAATTGACCTTGTATACTCCAATAATATACTATAAAAGACAAAATCATAGAATTCTTGAAGCCAGAAGAAATGTCAATAAGCTAGTAATTCAAATTCCCACCTATGAGTAGGACTTCATCTAAAGTCAGTTGTTCAGCAAATGTCTAGGAAGGAGTTGTCCGATATTCCCTTGGCTGGTCCAGTACTTCATCAGATCTATTGTTAGAAAAGTCATCCTTGTTATTCCTCAGCTTTGTCTCTGACCCTTTAAACACCCTAGGTACTTTCTGGCATTGAACAAACCAATAAAAGACAAGGTAGGCCAGACGAACTCATGTCTGTATTAGGATAACCCAAGTGACCCAGGGCCACTTGCCTGGAGGTGGCCTTTTGCCACCTGTTTCCATAGCCTGGTTCCATGCTTTGGAATTTGGTCTCTGACTCTGATTTCTTCACTCATTCAATGATCTATTTGGCCTATGAACCTTGGATTTCTGATGAAATCTTACTATGCACACTCCTGATTTCAGCATCACCTGCTGCTTTACAGGAAATAGCCAATCCATCAGCCAGCCTCTTTCTATGGCTCTCCCATCAGCCAGCTTAGTTTTCTCTAAAACCTTTATTCTTTTCTTTGCCTGCCCACCCTGCAGAGCTGATTCTGCCCCACCAACCAGAGACAGGTACTCAGACAATTTGTCAGCTTAGTGTCATTACTTCAGATGAATTTTGCATTCTCTGATTATATATTCTATTAAGATACAGAATATTTGGAGATCATCCTTCATATAATCACATGCCTTTAAAAAAACTTAATGTTTTCTTCAGAATGACAATGTGTTGGAAACATCACTGACATTAATTATATTTCTGTGGATTATAACCATTCAAGTCAACTCAACTGAATGACAATATTAGGAGTAGCAGACCAAGGACATAACAGAAAGAGAAACATAAACTATAATTTTTCTATCAATATAGGGAAATCTAGATAATACCTTTTATTCTAATTAAGGACAAAACTACATGCCACAAAATAAAGTAAAAGACTATGTAACCACCAGGTAAAACATACATGACTGAGACAGAAAGAGAAAAAAAATGACAAAGACCTCATTCTCCTGCCCTCCCCCACACAATTTGATAAATAGGATATCTGGAGAATTAACCTAAAAATGGAAACCTATCAGAAAATAACAATTATATGGGTAATGGATGAAATTGTCATTTTAGGCAGAGAACATAATTAAAGTCACAGAAATCACAGAAAAGGTATAAAGAATTACTTGAACTCAGTAGGAAATGATTCTAAAAAAAAAAAAATACTTTGCCAAGAACAAAAAAATACTAAGCATAATATAAATGTTTTGTGTCCTTTTCAAGAAATGACTCTCTGTCCTTTTATTCTTTTAATGGCTTCTATTTTCTATTCACTCAGAATCACTCACTCAAAATCCTCTTCGTATGGGGTTGTTAATAATGTTGTCCATCTGCAAGGAAAAAACCTCCACATACAAATACACACATTTTGGCTTTTCCTCTTGATCTTTGTTGGATACATTATAGGTAGATGTCATGATGCTGTGCTGCTGGGATCTAACACCAAAGGATATCTTTGTTTGTGTACATTTTTCTTTTACTTATTCTTAGAGAAAGACAGTAAAACATGCTGGAGCCACTATAGTTTGTTTGTTTGAAATTATACATAAAAGACAGAAATGGAAAGTTGGAAACAGCTGTGTTAATTAAGAAACATATGAATGTAAAGCATTGGCCTTACAACCTACAGAGATACAATAATAATGCCATTTATCACTCTGTTTTACCCAGTATTTTTAATGGGTTGCATTAAAAATATCAATCAAAGACTACTACCTGTTCTTTCATATTAATTGCCTCAGGATTCTACATTTAAAATTACTGTTGAACAGATGGCTTCCTGTACCCTTACAGGAGTGTGAGACTGAGCTTTACTGACGCATCTGTTAAGCTAAACATGCATGTAATCCATAAGAGATTTAGCACTTACTGAAACTAAGCATGGTTTACTTCCTGCGAGTACTATCCTAAGAACCTCTGAGTATTTGAAGTTTGTTATAGGTTAGCCTTTTCTTCACTTTTATTGGCCTTCCTCTTAGGGATATCTCCTGATCTTCTTTTTGCCTGGGTCCTACAGTAGATTAAGGAGACGCGGATGGGCAGCGGTGGAAGGAGACACACACACCAACTCAACTTCTCTCCACCTCCACCATCACCTCCATAATCCAATCTGCCATTATCTCTTGCCTAGAAACTAGCAATCATTTCCCAATTTCTTCTTACTTTCCCTCTTGAATCCATTCAATGTTCCGTCATGTATCCAGAGGGGTCTTTCTGAAGCACATGATCTCCCTGCTTAAATCCCTTCTATGGTGTCTCTCTGCTGCTAGGATAAAGATCAACATCCTCAACAAACCAACAAAGCCCTCTGAGTTCAGTCCTGCCTTTCTTATCCATCTCCTTTTATTCTCCATACTCCCACCTTACTGGCCCCTTATACTTCCTCATGTGAAACAGGCTCACTGCCATCACAGAGCATTTGTTCTGTTTGCAAGAAAAGTTTAATACAGACTGAGGTATACAAGAGTCCTACCAGCATTAATATACCTGTTCAGTGTGCCCAAAATTCGATGATTAAATCTTATTTCCTTCACGTCATTAATTCACTCATACATGTGAGAATGAAAACAGGGAATGGGGCACCAGCTTCATAGCTGATATTTCTGTATAACTTAGTATAGAAGGAGACACTTTGGGTCCATGAATTCTTCAAATACTGATGTAATAACTCTATTTCTTTAGTACAAGAATTTAAGATATACTTTTAAAAATATAAAAAGTGTTATCTTAAGTAGTTATCATAAATTACACCAGCAACTTATGCTAATATAATTTTTTACAGATACAAGAAAAGATCTGGGCCAGGTGCGGTGACTAACGCCTTAATTCCAGCACTTTGGGAGGCCAAGGCGGATGGATCACCTGAAGTCAGAAGTTTGAGACCAGCCTGGCCAACATGGTGAAACCCCGTCTCTACTAAAAATACAAAAATTAGCCAGGCATGGTGGCAGGCACCTGTAATCCCAGCTACTCGGGAGGCTGAGGCAGGAGAATCACTTGAACCCAGGAGGCGGAGGTTGCGGTAAGCCAAGATCGCACCATTGCACTCCAGCCCAAGCAACAAGAGCGAAACTCCGTCTCAAAAAAAAAAAAAAAAAAAAAGAAAGAAAGAAAGAAAAAACAAGATCTGAAAGACATACTGACAGAAGGGTAAACACAGCACAGGGAATTTTGGGTAACAAGTAAAATAGAATAATCCCCCTGGGAGAGCTAAAGATAGATATTAACTGTTTTGCTATTCTGTCAAAAAGCAGTCAATTTAAACATGTCTCAGGATTAGTGATCTTAAAATAATTTTATGGGATTTCTTATTATAAAAGTGTTATCAGCAGAACACACATTCTTTTCAAGTCCACGAGGAAAATTCACCAAAACAGACATGCTGAGTCATAAAACTAGTCTCAATAAATATCTTAAGATTGAAATTATGCAGAGCATATTCTCTGACCATAAAAGTGTTATATTAAAAATCAATTATGAGTAGCTATCAAGAATATACCCTCAAATATTTGGAATTTGAACAGTATACTTTTAAATAACAAATGACCAAAGAAGAAATCACAAGATGAGAAAATAATAGAAACATAGTACTTCAAAACTGTGGGATACAGCCTAACCAGTGCTTACAGGGAAATTTTTAGTTTAACTGCTTTTTTATAAAAAAATTTTTTAAAAAGAAAGGTAAACCATCATTCTCAGCAAACTATCGCAAGGACAAAAAACCAAACACCGCATGTTCTCACTCATAGGTGGGAATTGAACAATGAGAACACTTGGACACAGGAAGGAGAACATCACACACTGGGGCCTGCTGTGGGGTGGGGGAGGGGGGAGGGATAGCATTAGGAGATATACCTAATGTAAATGACAAGTTAATGGGTACAGCACACCAACATGGCGCATGTATACATATGTAACAAACCTGCATGTTGTGCACATGTACCCTAGAACTTAAAGTATAATAATAAAAAAAAGAAAGGTATAACGTCAATAATCTAAGCTCCATCTTGAGAAACTAAAACAAAATAGAGAAAATTGAATGCACAGTAAGTAAGAGGAAGGAAAGAATAAAAATTAGAATGGAAATCAATGAAATAGAAAACAGACAAATTAGTAGAAAAAATAAATAAATCAAAGTTGGTTCTTTAAAATAATTAATTAAGTTGATAAACCCCTAGCAAAACTAATCAATAAAAGAAATAGAAGTTACCAATATCAGGAATGTGACTATAGATTCTAAAGATATTAAAATGATAAGCTTTCAATAAATTTAACAACTTACATGAAATGAAAAATTCCTTGACAAGTACATATTACCAAAATTTACATGAAAAGAAATTGACAATCTAAATAACCCGGTATCTATTTAAAAACTGAATTTAAAATCAAAAACTTCACTATAAAATCTTCCGAACCAGATAGCTTCACTGGTGAATTCCACCAAATGTTTAAAGAAGATGTAATATCAATCCTATATAAACTCTTTCAGAAAATAGAGAAGACGAGAATACTTATCAACTTGTTTTACATAGCAGCACAGAAGCCTGACAAAGATATTATAATTAAAAATATATAGATCAGTATCCTTCATGAACACAGGTTAAAAAAATGTTTAACAACATGTTAGCAAATTAAATTCAGCAATATATTAGAACAGTAATACACCATGACCAAGTAGGGTCTATCTCATAAATTCAAGGTTGATTAACTTTTGAAAATCAATCAGTGTAATATGCCACATTCATAGAATAAGAAAAAGATCATACTATCATCTCAAGAGATGTTTAAAAAATCATTTGACAATATTCAACACCCCTTTATGATTAAACTTCAGCAAATTAGAAGTAAAAAAAGAACTATCTCAATCTGATGAAGGACATCTACAAAACCCATGCCTATCATTGTACTTAATTGTGAAACAGTAACTCTCTTTCCCTGAGATCAGGAACAAGGCAACGGTGTCCACGCTTACCAAATCTTTTCAATATTGTACTAAAAGTTCTAGCCAGTGCAATAAGGAAAAAGACGCATAAAGATTGGAGAAGAAGAAATTAATATATTAAAGATTTATTGCAAGAAATGTATGAAAATATAGATATGCAAGCATATATTTCTACCACCCAACCTACCACTGTTAATATTTTGTTATATAGCCTTCTTTCTTCTATAGCTTCTATAAATATATATGCTTTTTCCCCAAAAAAAGATCATAGATTTTGTAGCCTGCTTTTTCTACCTAATAACACATAGTGAACTCTTTCCCACGCCCTTAAATATTCTTAATAGCATCATTTTTCATTGTTAAATAATATTTCATTGTATGAATATTGACTGTTCAATACACAATTTCATCAAATCCATGCAGTTAGACATTTAAATATTTCCAAATGTTTAGTTACTATAAATGATGCAGCTTCAGTTACATAATAGCCAGATATTATTGTATTATATATCCATAACTATTTCTCTGATATAAATTCCAAGAAACTGAATTTCTGAATAACATTATAAGCACATTTTAAAGTTTTTAATTCCTATTGCCAGTTTCATAACAGGAAGTATATGTCAATTTTTATGTCCAGAAGCAATGCATGGATAGTAGACATCTTATGTGCTTCCCCAAAATCTTTTGTCTGTCTCTTGACAGCATCCCCGATTTTCTATGCAGGCATTTTCGCCTCTTCTATCCAGCACAACACTTTGAGGGAAGGTGGTCCCACTCTTGATCCCAGATGGGAGATGTAGCTCAAGACTTAGCTAAGTAATGTAACCACATGGATCGAGCTGTTGTTTCAGGGATGAGTATATGCCTCAAGTTGGGCCAAAAGGATCTAAAAAAGAAATTGGGATTCTGTCAAAGGAAACTGCTCCCCTTCTAAGAAAGCTTCCAGAATAACCCTCTCATTTACCCTGCAAGTAAGAAGCAGAGAGTCTCAGGAAATGTTGATAATCTATCTTCTGGTGACAGCAATGAGAAGCCAGTCTTAGGATGAAGCCAACACTTTAGAAAGCAGAGAGGAGAAAGAAAAAGAAACTAGGTTCTAGATAGTATTGCTGAGTCCCTGAAACAAACCAATCCTCTGGAATTCAAATAACAAGAGCCAATAAATCTCATTTATTAAGTTATTCGAACTGGGCTTTCTATTACTTGTAACCAAATATATCCTCACACAATAGGAGAGTATCTATATTACTCTTCATAATTAATGACAATAATCTTTTTAAAATATTGTCATTTTATAGAAAGTTATTTGAATTTGCATTTCTTTGACTACTAGTGAGGTTAAAAATGTTTTCAGAAATTTACTGGTTATATGCATTTCTTCTTCAGTATATTTTCTGCTAATATATTTTTTCAATTGATATGGTTATCTTCTTGATTTGTAAAAACTTCATATATAGAATACTAGCACTTTGGCACATGTATTACAGTTATTTTATGAATTTATTTTTTGTCCTTGTTTTATATAGACAAAGCTACCAGTAATTTTCTTTCTAGTTTTTTTTTTTTTTTTCTTGAGACAGAGTTTCACTCTTGTTGCCTAGGCTGGAGTGCAATGGCATGATCTTGGCTCACTACAACCTCCATCTCCTGGGTTCAAGTGATTCTCCTGCCTCAGCCTCCCGAGTAACTGGGATTACAGGCATGCACCACCATGCCTGGCTAATTTTGTATTTTTAGTAGAGACAGGGTTTCTCCATGTTGGTCAGGCTGGTCTCGAACTCCCAGCCTCAGGTGATACGCCCACCTCAGCCTCTCAAAGTGCTGGGATTACAGGCGTGAGCCACCACAACTGGACTTTTCTTTCTAGTTTTATCTTTTAGTAATAAGCCTAGAAAGCCCTGCAGCACATTAAGATTACATAAATAATAATTACATTAATGGAAGGGTAAATAGTCACTGTTGAGCCCTGAAATAATGGCATATCAGTTAAAACAGAAGAAATATTTTAAAATCTAGATAAAAACAGAGATTAGCATCAAAAAGGAAAAGATCCAAGGCCTGGGGAAATAGACACTGGAAATCCAGGAGGTGAATAATAGCAGTTACACAAGGAGAAGAGTAAAACTGTAGAGGAGAGGCAATAATTAAATAACATGAAAAACTGTCCCTGAGCTAAAGCCTACCGAGGGAAAAGGGTTGTGTAGTTTCAGGTAAGAGTAAGAAGAAACACACACTCAGGCATCCTGAAAAATTTCTGAACTCCAAGGATAAAAAGAAAATATGACAATTTTCAAGACAGTATGTGCAAGTTACAAATAAAGAAAAAAGAAATGAGGCTGACATCAGACATTTCATCTGCAACACTGGAACCTAGATGATAATGGAATAATATTTTTAAGATTAGTGTGAGGGGGCAGAATGAACACCAAGATTTGGGGACCCAGTCAAAATATGAAAGAAAAACATTTGTAAACACGTAATAAGTCAGGGAAAATATCACCCAAGATACAATAGAACTTCTGATCATAAACTTGGATAAAGTAGTAAATTATCTCAGCAAAATGTAGGACAATGAGAGTAGAAGAGGAATGAGAAGAAATAAAATATTCCTTGTTGTTCCTTGAGAATGAGAAAAAAGGAGAAAGTAGAGAACTGAAAATGTTCTTAAGAGTTGAATTTATTGGGAGAATAGTGTCTTTTGCAGATATCTAGTTTTAATTTGAAATAATAATGATGAAAGTTATCTATATAGTGTGTAATATGTACCACACGCTGTTGTATGTGCATTACATATATTGTCATTTAATCCTCATGAAAACTCTATGAGAAAAATTAAAAGAAAGCAATAAACATAAAGTGAGATGTACAGAATATAATTAAGCTAATTGAGTGTTGCACTAAGAGACAGACACTATCAAAATGCATTAAGAAACAATAATTAGTTATATGGTATATAATATTTATATTTTACATCTGAAAATAAATTAATACTACAAAGTATTTGAACTGGAAAGCTGTCAGACTAGTAGACTCAGCTGATCAGAGAGAGCAAAATCTAGTCTAGTCATAGCTGCACAACTTCAGAAAGGCTCAAGAGAGACACCACACAACTCTAAAGTTTGGGATTCAGGGCACTTGAAAGTTTGTATAAAGAGGAATTAAAATCCCTACCCCAATTCAGCACAGCCAAGGTTTGAATCCCAGTTCCACTATGTATCACCTGCATAATCTGAGACACATTGACCTCTCTGAGTTCAATTTCTTCATCTGGAAAATGAAGATGATAATGATACCTGCTGCAACCTAATACAAGCAAAGCCATTAGAAGACAGTCTGCCACACACAGTAAATTCTGAATAAAGTTTAGATATTCATATGAGGTCCAGAAAGAAAAAATAGAGGGAAAAGGAAATTATCAAAGTTATGATATTTTAAAAAATTCATAATTAAAGGACATGAGTTTCCAGCTGGTGTCCAATATAATGAATGTAAGGAGACTCCCTCCAGAGCACATAATCTGTTTTAAAAATGAAAAGATCTAAAAACTCTCAAAGTGAAAAAATATGTCTCACACTAAGTATAAGAACTCAGAATAGCATTTGACCTCTCAACAGCAACTCCAAAAGCAACTGTGTCTCACAAAAATTCTAAAAGAAAAATGAAAGGAGACTAAAGACATTTTCAAATGTGCAAGATCTCAAAAAAAATTACCTCCAATGTACCATTTCTCAGGAAGCTATGAGTTATGACAAAACTGAAAGCTTAAAGCAAGGAAGAGGAAGACAGGATACAAAAATTAGGCGATCCAACACAAAGGATTGGTGACAGGAATTCACAGGATGGTGCTGAAGGAAGTCCCAGGTTGATGACTCTGCAACATGCTTGGAAAACAAGCAGTCCATAGTGAAGCACAATGATAGAAGGTTCCAGGAGAAATGTCTATGAGAAAATAAATATCATTGAGAAATTATCTGTAGCTTTTAATTACATTTCACAACTTGGCAAAGAATGTGAGGCTGAATTGGTAATACATATTAATATATAGAAAATAAAATGAGAAATACAAAACAATTACCAAATCCAGGAAAAACAAAAGGTTGAACATGCAAGATAATGTTTACATAGCACACAAAAAAAGATACAGTTGTATATGTTTCTGTCATCAGGATAATAACAACTCTGGTTATTGACTTAACCAAACATGACATCTCTATAATGAGAGGACAGAAGGAATAGAACTGTGTGTGTGGTTGTGAGAGGGGAAAGACATAAGAAAATTAAAACTCATCAACACTAATAGGAAGTCCATTGATAATGTCTAAAAATGAAAAAAATCACTCAATGCAGTATTTTTTCATTCTAAAATATCCAAGAAAATAACAGAGAAAACACCAAAAATTTTGAAAGTAATTGCCACCAGGGAATAGGACTTAGGACTAAGGGCACCTGCAATATTATGTATCACAGGCCTTGTAATATTCTGCATTCATTACATGATATTATATACTTTGATTAAAATAAAATGTAAATTTAAAACAATAAAACCAAATGATGGGATGATCAAAGAAATTCCAAACAGATAGAAAACAAAATAAAGCAAGAGTAGCAATATTAATCACAAAAAAAGAAAAATAAATTTAAGTACTAAATAAAAAGGAAAATTATGTAATCAAAAGTTGAATTTTTTTAATGATTCAACATTTAATGATTCAACATTTATAGACCTGCGTGCATCAAACATATGGGAGGTAAATATACAAAGAAAAAAGTTTAACGCGAAGGTCATTTACAATCCAATTACAGGGACTTCCACTTTTAACAAAGATGGAGTAACAAGAACTAGATATACCCTCCTGCCAGAAACAAATAAATAATGGTCAAAATATACGAAAAACTGGACATTTGGCAGTGGAAAATGGTGATCCCTAGCAGATACAAAATGAATAAAATGAACCCTAAGATTACCTCAGCTTACAGCCTTGAGAAAATTTCTAGGCCATGGCACAGGAAGGGGAAACTGAGCCAGCACCCAGAAAATGCCCTGATGAGGAGACATAGAGCTCTATGTACAGTGAAAACATCTTTGAAAAACAAAAGTAAATAAAGACTTCCAGATATATAAAAGCTGGAAGAATGTATTACCTGTAAGACCTGCACTATAAGAAATGTTAAAAGAAGGCCTTCAGAAAAAAGGAAAATAATACCAGATGGAAACATGGATCTATATAAAGGAATGAAGATTACCAGAAATGATAACACATGGATAAATATGTAGATTTCTTCTTATTATTTAAATCTCTTTAAAAGATACTTGACTGTTTAAATAAAAATAACTACAATATAGTAAGGATTTGTAACATATGTAAAAGTTAAACATGACAATAGTAGCACAAGGGTCAGGGAGGGAGAAATGGAATATGCTGCTGAAGATTGTTAGACTACTCATGAAATGATTTTATGTCACTTGAAAGTAAAGTAAACTGTGATAAATCAAAGATGTACCAAAATTAAAATGTGATCAATTAAAGATGTAAAAAAGCAAACCAGAGTTAACAGCTACTGAACCAAAAAAGATAAAATGGAATTACTAAAAAGGTTCAATTAATCCAAAAGGAATAAGAAGAAGAAAAAATAAAGAAAAATGGAACAAATACAAAACAAATAGCTAGATGATAGATTTAGGCCTAACCAAATAAATAATCACATTAAGTACAAATGGTCTAAATCCCCCAATTAAAAAGCAAAGGTTGTCAGATTGAAGATAAAACCAAGACTTAACTATATTCTGCCTACAAAAACATACTTTAAATACAGTCACATATAAGTTAAAAATAAAAGGATGAAAAAAGATATACCATGCTAACACTAATCAAAACAAAGCTGGAGTGATAGTATTATTATCAGACAAAGCAGATTACAGAGTAAAGAATATCACAGCTCTATGGGGATCAAATTGTCAATACAACATAATAATCCCAAACTGTTATGCACCTAATAGCACAGTGTTAGAGTATTTGAAGCAAAATTCAGAGAAAAATAAACAGAAAATGAGTAAGATATAGAAGAGTTGAACAACATCACCAACCAACACATCCTAATTGACTCCACTCAACAATAGCAAAATACACATTGTGCACCTGTGGTCTAAGATAGACCATTTTCTGGGTCTATGTTGTTTTATTGAGATAGGACAAATCTCAATAAAGTTAAAAGGATTTAAGTCATACAAAATATGTTCTCTGATCACAATGAAAAGAAACACACAAAAATAGGATGGTTGTGGTTAGTTGTAACAGTAAGTTCTACGCAACTTAGTCTGACATAGGCCCAAGTGTAAATTAGCAGTGAGTATTGTACAATGTTGCACCTGGTATATATGACAGACTAATATTTTCCCCCCAACTCCCAATTTCTAAAGATCACTCTTGCCCTCAACCCCCTGACTCTTCAAGCTTACAACTGGGTTTTTCTTAGGGTTGTTCCTCTTTGAAGGAAAGGAAGGCATTTCTTTCACGTGCTAGTTGGCTCTCCTCATAGTTCAATCTTTTCTACAGTGTATTTTGCAAAAACCTCTCCGAGTTCCTGAACGTCAGTAGCATTGTAGCCTAGTTTCTAATATTGGCTTACCTTTTTCTCTAATTTTATATTCCGTTGGTTATTTCAATGAGCAGTTAAAAGGAATTGTTAAATGCATATGCTCAAATAATTTCCTTAAATCATAACCCACATGTCCTTTCTAATAAAGGTTTTTTTAAATTTCAAAGCATACAGAAATATAGAATTTCACAAACGTTTCTTGCCTCTTGAAACTGCATATTTAGTTTTTTCTCTAATTACCTCCAAACATCTAGCTAAAGTAAAAAGGCTTCCATATATATGTTTTTTCTGAGACAGAGATATATATATCAGAATAAAAAATCCACACAATTAATATGCATATTATTCCTGCATTACCTTCATAAAAATGGAACTGAAGGATTTTCAGAATCATAATATTGTCTGGGAAGCTGAAAAGTAAAGAAGGAGACTTGGGGAAAGGAGAGAAAAAAAGGATAAAATTAATGACAGACCAAATAGCTAAAGTCCTTGTTCAATCATAGCCATAAAATGTGTGCAAGCGCACACACACACACACACACAGAGCCTACTTCTTTATTAAAATGCATAAAGCAGCCAGAAGCAGGAGCACCAATAAATTCTTCTGTATAAGCAGAATTTTTTAATGGTTCCCTGAACACTAATAACCACTGCTCTCTTACGTGTACTTGACTCTGTTTAACCTTTTTCTGTTGCTTTTTAACTTCTCTAAGTCGGGTACTAATATGGAACTAATGTGGGGTTTATTTTCCCTATAGGAATAGCAAAAAGAGCAGTGCACATTATCGTAATCATACGAGTCCTTCTAGCAATGGTAGGACTTTAGATCAAAGCCTATGCATTATAGCCCAGGAAAAGAATTTAATAACAATTGCAAAGCTAAGCAATCTTGTTTTTAACCATCAGATATTTTACTGAATATTAGTCATGGAAAAAAATACTCTTCGCAAGCAAGTGACCCAGCAGGAGAGAATATGGACATCCTTTCCGTCCTAGTTAAGTTGCCGTTTGCCTCAGCAGCAACGATACCCATGTAATGACCGACTATCACAGCCTGACATTGATGAAGGATGGCTAGAAATGTGAACCCGTTTTATCTTTGGAAGATGAATTTTTGAGATGGTTTTCACTGCTGGAAATAATACAATATAAGTGGATGGGGCAGGAACAATGTCACATTTCTAGCCCTATCAAGCATGTGCCTCAATATTCCAGGTTCCTTGTGAGTTGCTAATTTGAAATGTATTAAAACATATCCCAGACTCAGCATTTCTGCCTGACCACTTCATCTTCATTTAAAGTTTTTGTGTATATGTGTGTATGTGTGTGTGTGTTTATGACTTTTCTCTCACAAGATACCTCGGAGATGCAGCAAACACTTCCACAGTGGAAATGAACAAGATGCATCAAGATTTTTTCCCCCTGACTTTTAGCTGCTGGATACTTTTCAATTCTTTTATTTTTCAGATAACAGAGGTCACCCAGCATCCTGACACTACAGTAGTTGTGTTCCAGCTGCATTAATCCATTTCCAGCTGAGCTTCTGCAGAAAGAGGAATTCATTTGACACCAGCAGGGAGAAGACAAGGGAAAAATTAAGACAGAATGAATAAATATATAATTTAACAAAAGAGAATAACAAGAACGAAGTAAAGGAATACATGTGGGTATGTGTGTATCTATGTAAAAATGGAGAGCCATGAGTGAAATTGTATACCAAAGGAAGCAACGTATATTCTTAAAAAGGAAAAAAAAAAGACATGAGAATGCATTGGTCTTCCGTGAAATGTAGCTACTGTAAGGTTTTTATCTCGGTCCACTTTAAATACCACCTTGAAATAAGAATTGGGTTCACACTTCTCTCAGCTGAATAAAGACATGCCTACTGAGCAGTCCATAGCAATAAAATCAGTGGTTTCCAATATCAACCCAGTATTTTCATCAAAGCTGTAGTTAGACATGGCTGAGTCAATGCAGTTTTAAACCATCACTCTGACACCCTAAATATGTTCAACATATTTGGAAATGCAGAATGTTTGCACCCATAATTATTTTCAGGCACAAGACCACATATAGAAATGAACTTGGGTAATGTCTATTTCTTTTATCTAAGCTTAGCTAGGAATACTAAAATACCCTGTCCTAAGACACATATCTGCAGAAGGAAAAGTTGAAGCACACTTCCTTTTGATTTGTGAGATAACTAAAATACAAGTTAACTAAAATGACTGGAATAAGCAGATATACCTGGTAAATAAATGCTGAAATACTGCTAGAGTAGTTTTGAAAATATGGCCCTAAAGAGATTATTTACAACATGACATCCAAGAAAGAACTTGTAATGCAGCATTTATAATGATGCAATAAAAAAAGATGCAGGTATCTGGCTAATTAGCCAATATGCTTTTAACTTGCATTTCTCATTTCCTTAAATCATATTTATACAGTGAAAACTTACATCAAAGCCATATATTTATTTTATGAATAAGTTCCCTCTCACCTTCAAAACTGGAGAATTAATGTTTTCTGCAACTTTTTAAGTTCTGGGATACATGTGCAGAATGTGCAGGTTTGTTACATAGGTATACATGTGCCATGGTGGTTTGCTGCACCTACCAGCCTGTCATCTAGGTTTTAAGCCCCGCGTGCATTAAGTATTTGTCCTAATACTCTGCCTCCCCCTCCCCACACCTCCTGACAGGCCATGGTGTATGATGTGCCCCTCCCTGTGTCCATGTATTCTCATTGTTCAACTCACTTATGAATGGGAACATGTGGTGGTTGGTTTTCTGTTTCTGTGTTAGTTTGCTGAGGATGATGGTTTCCAGCTTCATCCATGTCCCTGCAAAGGACATGAACTCATTCTTTTTTATGGCTGCATAGTATTCCATGGTGTATATGTGCCACATTTTCTTTATCCAGTCTATCATTGATGGGCATTTGGGTTGGTTCCCGGTCTTTGCTATTGTAAATAGTGCTACAATAAACATACGCGTGTATGTGTCTTTATGGTAGAATGATTTATAACTCTTTGGGTATATACCCAGTAACGGTATTGCTGGGTCAAATGGTATTTCTGATTCTAGATCCTTGAGGAATCACCATGCTGTCTTCCACAATGGTTGAACTAATTTACACTCCCACCAACAGTGTAAAAGCATTCCTATTTGGATAATTAATTTCTATGACCTCTCCTTTCTCTCATTCCCTAAAGAGAGCAATGGCAGAAAATAAAAGATAGCAACCTGAAGTGTGCAGACACTATATAATTATCTTGGTAACAATTGAGTTAATAGTTGTAAGTATAGTTCTAGGTTAACCTTAATTGGAATGATGGTAACATTTAATTGAAACAATGGCCTCCATATGTGAGAACTCATCTATGTGCAAGGCACTGATTTTGATGTGATTTCATCATACCTAGTTTATAGATGAAGAAACTGAGGGTTGAAGAAATTAATGACTTTGTTAAGGTCACATGACCAGAAGTCAAGATTTGAATGGAGGCTAGTTAAATGTCAGAGCTGATCTTCTCGGCCACTACACTTATGGCCTCCCTAATACTGACACATCCTCAGCTAAGGTACAGAAGTATATGATTCCTATTCACAGTGTTCCAATATTAATGTAAAACTGTAAATTCTTCTGTACGTCTGGGAGTCTGTGTTCATCTGAATCCCAAAGGCCGATGTGTTACAAATTCTAATTTAAAGGATCATATTTTCAGTTTGACCAATAATACCCCTAAGCATTGAGATTTTCACTTACGTGTTATACCTGGAAAATAATCACCGACACCATCGGCTTCAAAAATGAAGAACAACAGTAAGAAATCTACGTAAGCCATTTTCTTAAAGGAAAATTTTTTTAAATTTTTTCTATTACTTAGTTGTGTACATTTTTTTGAAAATGCGAAACTCACAGCTCATTCTATGGCAATTCTGCATTCCTTCTTAAATGGCTAGCTTTTACAAAGGGCAGACAGGTTTCCAGCTCCACAGAGCAATAATACTGATAACAATACATTGTGTTTCTATGGAGCCTTTTCTCCAAGGAACTCCAAGTTATTGGATTAACTCCACCAGTTTCCCTTGCCAGCACACTTCCGAATATAATATTACTTTTTATTGCTGTGCATTATAAGGAGAGAAAAAAAATTTGAAGTGCAAATAGTATGCTGAAAAATCAACAAATATAAGTTATCCCTAATGCAAAAGCATTTCAGGAAAAATATACGTATTTTAACACATATTTAGGCCTATTATTAGAATTCTCTATTTTTCTTTACATTTAACTGAATTGTATTTCCATAACTAATGGTTACCCGTAAAGTTTTAACTACTTGAATGTTTGGTTAAATCATAAGGAAATAACCAATTTGGCATTTTTGTGCCTACCTTCATTATGAAATGGAATACTGAGAAATATTTCTGAATGTAGACAAGCACTTTTCTCTTTCAATTCAATGGCATCTTAAGAAAATATCATTTAATTAAAAGACAAGAAAAAAAGACAACTATAGATTCTGGGGCAGCTAACCAACTGTTTTCTTGCTGTAAGCCAAGATTGTAACTATGAACTTAATAATTACGTGTTTGTTTCTACCACAAGTATCCCCATATCATACTGAAATACTCCAACTCTTTAATTTGCCTACATTGTACTCATTCAAACACCACGACTGCCCACATATCATGAGAGTGAAAGCTATTTAAAGAATCAACCCCCAATTTTTTTTTTACTTCTTAGAAAATATTATAATTATGTGGACAACATGATGCTGACTGAGCCACATGGCTTCTTTCTTTCTTTCCAGAAATATCCAGGCAAGTAAGAAGCCAGACAGCCAGATGTGGAGTATTTACTTTTGTGATCTCATTGTTTATGACAGTCAAGTCAAACAGAAACTTTTCTGCGAATCAACCCCCGTTTCCCAGTTGCTTAGTTTGAATGCTCCTGTGGACATTTGCTGTAAATAGTTTGACCATATTTGTCACGTGTCTGGAACTCACTTCAGAAGCAAAATGGGAATATGCAGCATATGGGCATAGAATTCACAGAAAGTTCTCTCGTGAGGGGAAAGATTAGAATTTCACGATCACAGCAGAGGAAGTTGTTAACTCAGCAATTCCAGACGGAGTGTCCTGCCAAGCAGTGGAGAGTGAACTGGGGGAGACGGGATACGGTCAGAAATTAAAACATGAGATGAGGGTGTCAAAAATTAAAAATTATAGTGATAAAGTAAAAGTTACAACAACGGCTAGATAGACTATATTTATATAGTTTACATATGCCTGTAAGAAAGGCGGTGCCTGGTAAGACCACAGTTAGAGTTCATCACATTGTTTCTCTTTTGTTTTTTTTTTTTTTTTTTTTTTTTTTTGAGATGGAGTCTGGCTCTGTCACCCAGGCTGGAGTGCAATAATTGTGCGATCTCGGCTTACTGCAACCTCCGCCTCCCAGGTTCAAGTGATTCTCCTGCCTCAGCCTCCAGAATAGCTGGGACTACAGGTGCCCACCACCATGCCTGGCTAATTTTTGTATTTTTAGTAGAGACGGGGTTTCATCCTGTTGGCCAGGCTTGTCTCTAACTCCTGACCTCAAGTGATCCACCCACCTCGGCCTTCCAAATTGCTGGGATTACAGGCGTGGGCCACCTTGCCCGGCCTAATCACATTATTTCATTTGTTCCCCATAAAATGAAGTTTCTAGAACAAAACAAGCTGATTTTGGAGATATAATATCCAACAGTTGCAAAAATTTATTCAGGGTTTCCCATGTGCCTAGAAATGTACTAAAAGTATTTCTTCTTTTATTTTTATTTTTTGTATTTTTTAGAGACAGGGTCTTCCTCTGTTGCTCAGGCTAGAGTCCAGTGGTGCAATCATAGCTCGCTGCAACCTCGAACTCCTGGGCTCAAGCAATCCTCCCACCTCAGCCTCCTAAGTAGCTGGGACTACAGGTGCATGCCGCCATACCTGGCTAATTTTTTTTTCCCCCAGAGGGACAAAGTCTTGCTATGTTGCCCAGGCTGCTCTCAAACTCCTGGGCTCAAGCGATCCTCCCACCTCAGCCTTCCAAAGTGTTGGAATTACAGGCATGAGCCACCCATGCCCGGTGGCAAGAAGTACTTCTAAATGCTGAAGAGAAATAACAAATGTATTTAACCCCACTGGAAACAAGAAAAATAAATAAATAAATAATAAATTTAAAACCAATGGTATAGTTATTACTTTTATAATTAGAAAGACAACTATACCCTAACAACAGATCAATTTCTAGATTTAGCAGACATGGCAACATCATGTATTAGTAACACAGATTTTAATATTCTCTTGAATTTTATTCTAATGGAAATGAATGATAATAATTGCTCTACACATTGTTGTCAAAGCTTCCTTGTGACCAATGGTATAATACCAGTTTCACTGAATCCTGTTGCAAAGTACAAATATTAGCTACCTATATAAAATTTGGAGAATTCAGCGAGATTCCACAATTTGGTTTTTATTCTTGCTTTCTAAAGTGTTATCAACATTGCCACAATTAAGAGGAACAACATTCCCTTGGACCTACTGGTATGCCCAATGAGAAGGGTACTAGTCAGAGGTGATGCCTTTCTTCAAGATCCAGTACACCAGCAGGGCCTAGTGGCTCATGCTTGTGATTCCAGCACTTTGGGAGGCCAAGGTGGGCAGACCACTTGAGGCCAGGAGTTCGAGACCAGCCTGGCCAACATGGTGAAACCCTGTCTCTATTAAAAATACAAAAACTAGCCAGGCATGGTGGTGCATGTCTGCAATCCCAGCTACTCGGGAGGCAAAGCAGGAGAATTGCGTGAACCCAGGAGGCAGAGGTTGCAGTGAGCCAAGATGGCGCCACTGCACTCCAGCCTGGGCAACAGAGCAAGACGCTATCTAAAAAAAAGAAAGAAAAACTCCAGTACACAAAAGAAAGTCCACAATTTTCAACAGTGTGAATCTCATTGTCATCTTATAAAGCTCTCTATTATCTCCTTGTGATGCAATTATGATGGTTTTTCAGAATGATTTTTGGGGGTAGGTTGTGTCTCCAAGGCTGGCCACAACATACCTTTTGCACTGTGACCTCACCATCTCTTTGTCAAAAGGTAGAGTCTACTTCACCTCTCTTTAAGTCTAGCCTTTCCTGGGACCTATTCTGATTACAGGACCAGTCTGACTGTGATGGATGTGACTTTGTATAACACCACAGGCTGGGCCTTAAGAGATCTGCAACTCTTGTCTCACCTCTGGAATGCCCCTTCTTAGAACGTACCTCCCATGCTGTTGGCAAGTGGACACAGCCCAACCCATCCTCAGAATATGCTCTTTCTACCTTCTTTCTTGCTAGAGATGGTTTTAAATAACTAGGACCACTTCAAATCCCAGTGGCTATAAGCTTTAATGCCTAAAGTAATTCTTCACAAATAAAAAATGTCAACTTCCTTAAAATGCTCAAAAGGCTATCTAGGTTAAAAAGAGCCCACACATCTTTTTATTTGTTTGAAGGAAGCCAGAAGCCCTCTGCACTTAAAAACCTGGGTTTGAATTCCAACTCTGCCACTTTGAGTCTCTATTTTCTCACTTCTAAAATGAGAAAAATGGCCAGGTGCAGTGGCTCATGCCTGTAATCCTAGCACTTTCGGAGGCCGAGGCAGATGGATCACCTGAGGTCAGGAGTTCGAGACCAGCCTGGCCAACATGGTGAAACCCCGTCTCTACTAAAAATACAAAAATTAGCTGGGCGTGGTGGCGGGTGCCTGTAATCCCAGCTACTCGGGATGCTGAGGCAGGAGAATCACTTGAACCCAGGAGGCGGAGTTTGCAGTGAGCCAAGATTGTGCCACTGCACTCCAGCTTGGGCAACAAAGTGAGACTCTGTCTCAAAAAAAATAAAATAGGCCGCGAACAGTGGCTTATGCCTGTAATCCCAGCACTTTGGGAGGCCGAGGCAGGCGGATCGCCTGAGGTCAGGAGTTCAAGACTAGCCTGGCCAATATGGCGAAACCCCTCTCTACTAAAAATTAGCTGGGCATGGTAGCGGGCGCCTTAATCCCAGCTACTTGGGATGCTGACACAGGAGAATCGCTTGAACCCAGGAGGTGGAAGTTGCAGTGAGACGAGATCATGCCATTGCACTCCAGACTGGGCAACAACAGCGAGACTCTATAAAAAAATTAATTAATTAATTAATTAAAATAAAATGAGAAAAATAATTGTGAGAATTCAACACAATCATATGTGACATCTTAGTCAACTTGAGCTACTGTAACAGAATACCATAGGCTGAGGGGCTTAAACAACATTTATTTCTTACAGTTCTGGAGGCTAGGAAGTCTAAGATCAGACAGCCAGCCTGGTCTGGTTCTTGGTGAAGACCCTCTTCCTGATTTGCAGACAGCCGTCTTCTTGCCGTGCCCTCACATGGCAGAGAGCACTGGTCTCTTCATCCTTTTCTATGAGTACCAATCCCATCCACCCTCATGACTCATCCAAATCCAATTACCTGCCAAAGGCTCACCTCCAAACACCACCACAATGGGGAGTAGAGCCTCAACATACGAGTTTAGCTGGGATACATTCAATCCACAGCATGTGGGAAAGGTCTTATAAATCCTAGGACCTGGAGCAAATGTGAGAAATTATTATTCAACAGGCCATTCTGCACACTGTAAGATGATAATTCCATACAGAAGTGGCTCTGGCTGGCTCTAGCTGGCTTTTCAGAAGCATGAATGTGGGTTGTGACTTTCTCAGAACTAGGGCACCAAGTCCAAGTGCAGGAGACTCAACAGACACTGACCTTCATGTATGCATTCCACAAGCATTGACTGAACATCTATGTTGTAGCTGGCACTCTCTCAACATGGAAATGCAACATGAACAAAACATAATCCATCGTTTTTGTTTTGTTTTGTTTTGTTTTGTTTTGTTTTTGAGACAGAGTCTATCTCTGTCACCCAGGCTGGAGTGCAATGGCGTGATCTGTGCTCACTGCAACCTCTGCCTCCTGGGTTCAAGCGATTCTCCTGCCTCAGCTTCCTGAGTAACTGGGGTAACAGGTATGCACCACCATGCCAGGCTAATTTTTGTATTTTTAATAGAGATAGGGTTTCATTGTGTTGGCCAGTCTTGTCTCGAACTCCTGACCTCAGGTGATCCACCCACCTCGGCCTCCCAAAGTGTTGGGATTACAGGTGTGAGCCACCGTGCCCAGCCAATCTATGCTCTCTTATAACTCTTTTTTTTTTTTCTTTTTTTTTTTTTCAGACAGAGTCTTGCTCTGTCAGCCAGGCTGGAGTGCAGTGGCAAAATCTCAGCTCACTGCAACCTCCACCTCCTGGGTTCAAGCGATTCTCCTGCCTCAGCCTCCCGAGTAGCTGGGATTTCAGGCGTGCACCACCACGCCAAGCTAATTTTTGTATTTTTAATACAGATGGGGTTTCATGATGTTGGCCAGCCTGGTCTCTGACTCCTGACCTTAGGTGATCCACCCTTCTCCATCTCCCAAAATGCTGGGATTACAAGCGTGAGCCACCAGGCCCAGTCGCTCTCTTAGAACTCTTATCTTCATGACTAGAGACACACTATCATACTAATAAGAGCTAAGAATAACTGAATCCAAGTAAGGAGACAGACAGTAACTAGGCCATTTTAGGAAAGGCCTCTCTGATAAGGTGACATATGTGTGGACATCTGAATGAAGTCAGGAGCAAACCACACATGTATGTGCAGGAAGATTTTCCAGGTGGTGGGAACGGCCTGTGCAAAAACCCTGAGGTGGGATCGTGCTCACTGTGCCCAAAGATTAGCAGGGAGGCAGGTGCAGCTGGGGTAGAAGCAGCCAAGGGAAGAGTGGAGAGATGAGAACAGAGATCTAGAGGTATCTAGACAGATTCCAGCCTGACGGACCATGGCAACAACACTAGATTTTATTCTAAGTGAAAGGAGACAGCAAAGTAGGCTTTGAGCAGAGGAGAGGCACGGCGGATTTACCTTTCTAAGAGATGGCTGTGGCTGGCTGTAGAACACACTGGGGAAGGGAAGCAGGAGCAGGAACCTTGATAGAAGGCTATTGCAGCAGAGTCCAGGCAAGAGATGCTGCAGCCTGGACTTGGCTGTCGTAGTCAGGAGGTGAGGAGTAGCTGCCTCCTAGATCTATTTCAAAATCAGAACCAGAGGATTTGCCGATAATTGGGGTAGTGGGTGGGAAAAAAGAGAGGAGTCAAGAAAGAGGCAGAAGTACACGGTTTCCGAGAAAATAAAAGGATAATTTGGGGGTTCGTTGTGTGAAACGATAACCCCAAAATAGGTATTTTCTTAGCACCAAGTTTCCAATGTCTTGGCTAAAAATAATAATAATAATTTAATGCCAGTAATCTTTTTAGAAACTATTTTACTGTCATATAAATGTACTAATTTGGGGAAATATTATGAGATGCATAAAAGCAACTCCAATTCTATTTGCTTTAGTTAAAGCTTTATAACTAAGCACAGCTGCAGACTGCCCAGGCATAATTATAGCTCCACCTGGCAGGCAGGCCCCTGGGTTTGAAGCATAGCATTTCATTAATAAAATGAAAGAATGTGTGAAATTGTATTTTTAAACAGTTGAAATGAAAGGAAACCTCATAGGTGGCAGGCTGTCTTTGCTAGGCCACAACCATGTGTTGAAACATCACGCGAACACTGCCTGTCTCACATCTCTTGCTAGCACGAGTGAGGCTGTCCTTACCATGGATGTTCAGACAATGCACTGGGCCTTCTGAATGCAGACACTCTCGTAATGTCACAGCATTCCAGGAAAGAAAAAGGCACAGCCCACAAGCATCCTTATTGCACTCAGGTTCTGAAAATCTCTTTGTTTTCTTGAGACTACCAGGTTACCAAGGAGTAGCATTCAAAGAAAATGTGTACAACCGATAATAACTATACTGGTCACTCTCCAGTAATTTCTCCTTTATTTATTCAACCAACTATTTGCATTTCACTGTACCATTAATTATTGCATACATGAACTAGCAATCCAACTCCCATAAGAAATGACACCTCCAATTCCTCCTTAGAGCTACCAACAAAATCCAAACCCTTTTTTACAAGAGCAAAAAATCTAAGTTTGTGCTCTGTGCAATCTAATCCTTAATAAAGAGAAGAAAATTTAATTTTATATTGTTTCAAATTATCCAACTTACAGATGAGAATAATTAGATTTTCTACCTGGACCCTAATGTTATAAACCCAAATAACATTCCTTCAAAATAAACAAACCAAAATATATTTTTAGAAATAAAGGAATTGGGCACAGTGGCTCACGCCTGTAATCCCAGCACTTTGGGAGGCCAAGGCAGGCCAAGGAGGTCGGGAGTCTGAGGCCAGATTGACCAACTTGGAGAAACCCCGTCTCTACTAAAAATACAAAATTAGCCAGGCATGGTGGTGCATGCCTGTAATCCCAGCTATTCGGGAGGCTGGGGCAGGAGAATCGCTTGAACCCGGGAGGCGGAGGTTGTGGTGAGCCCAGATCACGCCATTGCAAATCCAGCCTGGGAAACAAGAGCGAAATTCTGTCTCATAAAATAAATAAATAAATAATAAAGGAATTGAAAACCACTAGAAGAGCAATTGTTTTTAACACAGCTCTCTTAAAATTCTACAGAATAAGTAAACAAAAATGAGTACTGTTTATGAATAATAATTAAAGAATTAATTCAATAACTCTATGGAATTATTGTCAACCTTTTATTAAAACCCTTTTAATTAATCTAATGATAATTTATAATAAAAATCATGCAGCCACATTCTTTGATCACAGGGCAATCAAATGAAGAAATTAACAACAAATACAAATCAAAAAAACTAACCACTTAGAAATCTTAATACAGGCCGGGTGCAGTGGCTTACTCCTGTAATCCCAGCACTTTGGGAGGCCAAAGTGGACAGATCACTTGAGGCCAGGAGTTCGAGGCCTGCCTGGCCAACATGGTGAAACCCCATATGCACTAAAAATACAAAAAATTAGCTAGGCATGGTGGTCTGCACCTATAATCCCAGCTACTTGCGATGCTGAGGCAGGAGAATCGCTTGAACCTGGGAGGTGGAGGTTGCAGTGAGCTGAGATCGCATCATTGCACTCCAGCCTGGGTGACAGAGCCAGACTCCGTCTCAAAAAAAGAAAGAAAGAAAGAAAAGAAAATAAATCTGAAAACATCCTTCTGAGTAACTCAACATCTAAGAATGAAATTACAGACTACTTAGAAATTAATGATGTCTCCCACTAATAAGAACCAGAGCATCTTGGGGAAACAACAGATCTGGATCTGGGGCAGGAACTGTACAAGATAAGCGTGGGACATCTTCTTGTACCAGAAAGCAAGAAAGCTATCAAAGACCACAAAGGTCACATGGAAAGAACCTAAAGCCCCCACTGGTCAAAGATGGGACAACATGAACATCAAAAAAGTACTGACTACAATGGACTGAAACACATCAAACACATTAAAATCTATGTATTTGTAATAATACTTTAAAAGCGGTCTGTTCTAGAGGTTTCTAGAGCACCAATTCATTATACTGAAAATGGTAAATAAAATATTCAAAAATTTATCCTGCCCTTCTCTGTGAAATTTATTTTTGGATAAACATTTAGTTGCTATAAAGAAATAATAGAATTGGAACTCACCATTTTGCAACCCTCAATGAAATAAACTATCTGGGCAATGATCAAGGATGACTGATAAAACCATCAGGTAAGACTGATGAGGAACCTTATAATGAATGAATTAAGCTCAAAACATCTGCCCCTATTGATCAATGTTAATATCATAAGAAGAGAAAAAGGCATTGTGGGTCTCTTGATATGATGTAAGACAAACTGCACTGCACAGCACCACCTATGAGAGATTCTTGCCAAAAATCTTCAACTCAAATCTGACTCTGATCAAGTCTTTAGTTGTAACCACCAGTTTACAGGAGACACAGGGATAGACGAACATGTTAAACAACACCATGAGGATACAATTAGGCAGGTCCAGAACTGGGAAATTTTACAGTACAAATGCCTTATTTTTTCACACAAAAAAGTAAAAACAGAATGAGAAGGAGAAAGAAGGACTGCTACAGGTGGAAAGAGATGTGTCAACTAAATGCTACATACAGGCCTTATTTGAGTACTAATTCAAACAAACCAACAATTAAAAAGACATTCATGAGATAAGTGGGAAATGTAAACACTGACTGGCTATTAAATGATATAAGAAATTTTGTCACTTTTCCTTTGGAGATAATGTTTACTTAAAAGTCGGAATCTTAGAGATGCAAAAAGAAGTTCCTACAGATAAAATGTCTGGCTTTGCTTTAAAATAATCCAGAAAGCTAGGGATAAACAAAATTGACCATATTTGTTGAAACTGGTAGAATAAAACTAGGGCTTCATTATTCTAGTGTTGTGCACTTTCTATTATGTCATTTCAAGAGATCCACAATTTCTGATTGTGTATGTCTACTTTTGTGTATATTTAAAATTTTCTATAATAAAAAGGGCTTTTATTTTTAAAGAAATGAGTAACAGTGAAAGTACCACATATCAAAATGAATGTCGCTTTGGCTTTCAGAGGAGGATGCCTTAAATTAATTTTTTAAAAAATAAGATATACCAGAATGGCTATTATTAAAAAGTCAAAAAATAATAGATGCTGTCGAGATTGTAGAGAAAATGGAATGTTTATACACTGTTGGTGGGAATGTAAATTAGTTCAACCATTGTGGAAGACAATGTGGCAAGTCCTCAAAGAGCTAAAAACAACCACTGTTCAACTCAGCAATCCCATCACTGGGTATACACCCAAAGGAATATAAATTGTTCTGTCACAAAGACATATGCATGCATATGTTAATTGCAGCACTATACACAATAGTAAAAACATGGAATCAACCTAAATACCCATCAATGGTAGACTGGATAAGGAAAATGTGGTACATATACCCCATGGAATTCTATGCAGCCATAAAAAAGAACAAGATCCTGTCCTTTGCAGGAACATGGGTGGAGCTGGAGACCATCATCCTTAGCAAACTAAAGCAGGAACAGAAAACCAAATGCTGTATGTTCTCACACATAAATGGGAGCTAAATGATGAGAACACATGGACACAAAGAGGGAATCAACAGACACTGGGGCCTACCTGACAGTGGAGGGTGGGAGGAGGGAGATGATCAGGAAAAATCACTATTGGGTACTAGGCTTAATCCCTGGGTGATGAAATAATCTGTGCAACAAATCCCCATGACATGCATTTGCCTATGTAGCAAACCTGCACATGTACCCCTGAACCTAAAAGTTAAAAAAAAATAAAGACATATAATAAAATAAACATACAACTCTAAAAGCTAGAAGTAAAACCAAAATTAGCCAAAATAAAGAAGGGAATAATTAATCAAGATAAAAGTAGAAATTAGTTTTTTAAAAAGCACACTTGAAAATAAACCCAAAATCTGTCATTTCAAAACACCAATAAAATAAATCTCTGCTAAGTATAATTAAGAAAATAAGAAATAAAACCGAAATAAACACGTTGAAATTGAAAAATTGGCCATACTCACAAATATGAAAGAAATTTTAAACATAAAATAATCAATAATATTAGGTTGCAATAAAACCAAACTCTAGATAAAATGGATGATTTTTAGGATAATAAAAATGATTCAACTTAACTCAAGGACATAAAACACAAACCTACTAATAAGCACAAAATAAATAGAAAGGGTAGTTTAAGATCTAACCCCAAAAGTCATCAGTCTGTGTTATTTTACTCATTTATTCTTTCTTTTATTGATTCAAAAATATAAATTGAAAACCAATATAACCAGGCACTATTCTTATTCTTATTCTTCTCAATTATGAGGATTCAAAAAGAAAAAAACCGTGCCCTCTTGGAATTTACATTCTAGTGATGATTGGGATGAAGGGGGAATACAGACAATAATAGCATAAATAGGCAAAATATATCATATGTTAGATGGTGTGGAGGTTAAGTAATGCCCTCACCCCCACCCCCACCATTCCAAAGATGTCCCAAGTTCCAGAACCAGTGAATATGTGACTTTACATGATAAAGGGAACTTTACAGGTGTGATTAAGAGTCTTGAACTGGGAATATTGTCCTACATTATCTGGGTGCACCCTATGTGAACACATGCGTCCCTTATAAGAGGGAGGTAGGAAGGTCAGAGTCAGAGAAATTTAAAGATAGAGGAAGGGGCCATGAGCCAAAGAATGCAGGCAGCCTTTTGAATCTGGAAAAGGCAAGGAAACAGATTCACTCAAGAGCCTCCAGAAATAACCAGCCCAGTGGACACCTTGATTTTAGGACTTCTGATTCCCTGAACTGTAAGAGAATAAATTTGTATTGCTTAAGCTACTAAATGTGTGTTAATCTGTTACAACAGCAATAGGAAACCAATACAGATGGGAAAAAAAATAAAGCTGAGTAAGAGCAGGGCCTGCCAGAGGGTGCAATTGACCTAAGTTAGTTAGGGTTAGGGTGCAATTGACCTCAGTTGGTTAGGGTAAGGGTGTAATTGACCTAAGTTTGTTAAGGTAAGTCTCACCTCTAATAAACCTTGTTATGTAAACTGTGCCAGGGGAAGCAAGGAAGGAAGGAAGGAAGGAGGGAGAAAGAGAGAGAGAAAAAAGAAAGAGAAAGAAAGAAAGAAAGAAAGAAAGAAAGAAAGAAAGAAAGAAAGAAAGAAAGAAAGAAAGAAAGAAAGAAAGGAAAGAAAGAAAGAAAGAAAGAAAGAAAGAAAGAAAGAAAGAAAGAAAGAAAGAAAGAAAGAGAAAGGAAGAAAGAAAAAGAAAGGAAGGGGAGGGGAGGGGAGGAAGGAAGGAATGATGAACTACTTCATGAGCAAAATTCAAAGACAAACAATAGGAAATTAGGAAAAATGAGATACAAATGGCAAATAAGCATATGAAAATGTATTCAATGTCAACATTAGTAAACTAAATGGGAATGAAAACAATCAAATGCCACTTTTAACAGACTGGCAAACATTTCAATGATTGTTAACATCCAGCACAGGTGAGTATATGGGGAAATGGCAATCTCTTACATTCTTGAAAAAATTTTAAACTAGTGTAATCTTTTTAGAGGGCAATCTAGCAATTTCTACCACAGTTTAAAATATGCCTACCTTTTTTCCAGTAATACATTTCTAAGAATTATACTTTTAAAAGTTTGCACTAATGTCCAAGAAATATATGTGGTATTCATTGTAAAATAATAAAAACAATTTAAATTTTATCCGGTGGAATATTATTATATAAATTGTGACACATCCATACAAAACAATTAAAAAGAACTTAAGGCAGATCTATATATACTAACTTGGAAAGATATTTACAGCACATCATTTAGTGAAAAACTCAAGTTGCATATCTGTATATATACTATGATCCATATGGGAGGTGGTCTCTATGATGGCCCCCAGTGATCCCATAGCCATACCTTTGTGTGATCCCTTCCTCTTGAATGTAGGCTGAACCTAGTGATTCACTTCTAACTAATAGAACATGGCAAAAGTAATGGAATATCACTTCTACAATTAGGTGTACAAAGAGATGGCAGTTTCTTCTTGCTTATTGTAGTGGAGGCCAGAGAGGCCTGTGTAGCAAAGAACTGAGGGAGGCCTCTGGCCAACAGGTAGCATATAACTGAGGCCTTCCATCCAACAGCCTCACAAAGAACTGAATCCTGCCAACAACCACATGAGTGAGCTCATAAACCAATCCTTACCCAATAGAGCCTTCAGATGAGACCACAGCCCTGGCCCATACCCTCAGTGCAACCTCATGAGAGATCTTGAGGCAGAGAATTCAGCTAAGCTAGAGCCTGATTCTGACTCAAAGAAACTGTAAGACAATAAATGTTTGTTGTTTTAAGCTGCTATATTTTAGGAAAATTTGTTACACAGCAGTGGATAACTAATACAGTCCCATTTTTATCCCAAAAAAACTGTTAAACTATATTATTTTATGTGTATGTGTAGAGAAGGTTGGGAACAAGGATACATAGATAGGTGCCTGGAAGGAAAACTTCCAGCTGCTGATGGGGGTCACTTCTGAGGCACTGAATTAGCAGAGAGAAAAAATCGCAATTTCTACTTTCATATTGTTTGAATTTCTTATAGCAAGCCCTGATTACTTACTATAAATATCTATTTTCTCAAAATCTTTCTGCATAATTTCTTTTATATTACATCCTCAACTTATTAGCAATAGTAAAGTACTGCTCTGTGTTGTCAGCCAAGCATAGTGGTGGATTTTCACCAACCCATTCACACACTTTTTCTTTTGTAACAAATGGGAAGTTATTTCAGAGACAGAGACCCTCCCCCATCCCACCAATGAAATAGAGCAAAATTAAGTGAGCCTTCTAGGAACTGAACCCATGGTTTTGCCAGATTAAGGAATAAACTTTTGTTTAAAAAAAAAAAAAGGAGTAGATCATAACTACCATTACCACCAACTCCACTAACCTAAAACCTCAAATGATCAGAACTACTTCTTCCATATTCCGAATAACTTTAATCCTCCCAGCTCAGGTAATGCATTACCATAGCAAAGAAACCCCAGGGCCATATATTGCTCCTTTTTTTCCATTACCAACCACACATACTCATGAACAAGCCCAAGGAACAATCTATATCATGAATCTGACCACTTTCCTCCACTTTTGTTGCTACTGCCTGAATCCAAGCCACTCTCATTGGTCCTCTAAACCACTGTATAGACCACAGTATAGCTCTCTCACTGGTCCTCCTGCTTCCACACTTGCCAGCCTATAAATCATTCCTCACGCAGAGGCCAGGATGATTTTTTTTTTTTGAGATGGAGTCTCACTCTGTTGCCCAGGCTGGAGTGCAGTGGTGTGATCTCCACTCAATGCAAACTCCACCTCCCGGGTTCAAGCAACTCTCCTGCCTCAGCCTCCCGAGTAACTGGGATTACAGGCATGTGCCACCATGCACAGCTAATTTTGTATTTTTAGTAGAGATGGGGTTTTGCCATATTAGCCAGGCTGGTCTCAAACTCCTGACCTCAGATGATCCACCCACTTTGTCCTCCCAAAGTGCTGGGATTACAGGTGTGAGTCACCATGCCTGGCCAGTAATTATTTCTTTCTATCTCCAACAAATTAACAGCATAAAAGAATAGGCATTATAACCCAAATACGAGATTATCTATAAATAATTCAACAATGAAGTTCTTCTGATTACAAGATGTGATTCTAAGGACATGAATCAAAAATTTTAACCAAATATAATCAATGTTCATGGGTACTGAATGCATCTGTATAATGAGGTATGCCCTCAACATTGCTCAGAACCACAGCAGCCACCTAGAATCATGAAGATAGTGCCACAGAAACTCTAAAATCATGTGAACTCTAAAAATGAAATGACAAGAAGAATGATCATTGCTATTATTTAGGGCTTTATGTCAATTCTCTGTAGTGCCATCCTGTATTGCCCCTACTCTAGGGAGCAATCTCTCTCCTTCCCACCCTCAATGACAAGGATTACATGTTTGAATGAAATGTCAACATCACACATTATGCAGGGTAACGGGAATCCACCATCTAAATATCATTACAATCAAGAACTGTCATGTTCAAATTCTCCCTCACTATTCACAGCTGAAAGAAACAACAACTTTAAGACCTTGCCTGAATTTTCAGCAAACACTCACTTGATTTCAAGGTGACAGAGTGTGTTCTTAAGAGCTGTTACCACCCTGGGTAATTACTAGGTTGGTGCAAAAGTAATTGCAATTTTTGCCATTGAAAATAATGGCAAAATATAAAGCTAGAGAAAGGCTGCAAGAGAGAATAGAGGAAGTTTAACATCTGTGCCCACTCATGTAGCATATCTGAGTCAGGGCCACCAGCCACCAAGAACAAAGAAAGCTGCTACAGTCTCTGCCAATTGGGAAGAAAATGGAAATAAGGTGGGAGTAAGGAAACCTTTCTCAACAATTAAAAATACAGAGTTTTAAAAATAACTAAAAGAGGCCGGGAGTGGTGGCTCACGCCTGTAATCTCAACACTTTGGGAGCCCAAGGCGGGCAGATCACTTGAGGTCAGGAGTTCGAGACCAAACCTGGCGAACATGGTGAAACCCTGCCTCTACTAAAAATACAAAAATTAGCCCAGCATGGTGGTGGGTGCCTGTAGTCCCCACCACCTGGGGAGGAGGCAGAGGCAGGAGAATTGCTTGAAGCTGGGAGGCGGAGGTTGCAATGAGCTGAGACTGTGCCATTATACTCCAGCCTGGACGACAGAGAGAGACTCCATCTCAAAAAAATAAAATAAAATAAAAATAAATTTAAAAAATAACTAAAAGAGTACAATTGGATTGTTTGTAACACAAAGGATAAGTGCTTGAGGGGATGGCTACCCCATTCTCCATGATGTGCTTATTTCACATTGCATGCCCACATCAAAACACCTCATGTACCCCATAAATTCATACACCTACTATGTACCCTCAAAAATTAAAAATTTTAAAAAACAAAATATACAAAGTTTGCTTTATCTTTCTGAAAGCCACAGATATTTCTGGCCAAGAACAGAGAGTTTTGAATACTGTCAAGGTCACAACTGCAAATACTGAGTTGGTAGGCAATATTAAAAAGTACAAAAAGCAAAGGGATAAAAGCAAACAAAAAGATTGCTGAAATGCAAAATATAAGGCACTGGGCACAGAATTTCACATTTGGCATTGGCACGTGCATGAGGAATGGAGACACTGGTTAGTAAAGCGCTGGCACTATGTTGCTGTCATTGCAGAAGGTCTTGGCTAGTGGAATTCAGAACTCCTCCTTTCAGTTTAGTTCAACTCAGGAAACACATTCTCAACCAGTGACCTCTGAATCCTAGCCCCCACGATTCAAGAAAAAGACATCTAAACTTTCTACGCTTTTTCCTTTTTTAATTTTTTTGAGACAGGGTCTCGCTCTGCCACCTAGGCTGTAATGCAGTGGCGCAATTATGGCTCACTGCACCATCGGCCTCCCAGGCTAAAGCGATCATCCCACCTCAGCCTCCTGGGTAGCTGAGACCAAGGCACATACCATCAGACAACCACACCAGCTACTTTTTTAATTTTTTGTAGAGACAGGGTCTCACTATGTTGCCCAGGCTGGTCTCGAACTCCTGGGCTGAAGTGGTCCTCTCACCATGTTGGCCTATACTTACTTTTTATCTCATTCTTTTTATTTTTATTTTAAGTTCCGGGGTACATGTGCAGGATGTGCAGGTTTGTTACATAGGTAAATGTGTGCTATGGTGGTTTGCTGCACCTGTCAACCCATCACCTAGGTATTAAGCTCAGCATGCATTAGTTATTTTTCCTAATGCTTTCACTCCCCTCACCCTTTGCCAACAGGCCCCAGTGTGTGTTGTTTCCCTCCCTGTGTCCATGTGTTCTCATTGTTCAGCTTCCACTTATAAGTGAGAACATGCAGTGTTTGGTTTTCTGTTACTGCATTAGTTTGCTGAGAATAATGGCTTCCAGCTTCATTCATGTCCCCGCAAAGGACATGATCTCATTCCTTTTTATGGCTGCATAGTATTCCATGGTGTATATGTACCACATTTTCTTCATCCACTCTATCACTGATGGGCATGTCGGTTGATTCTATGTCTTTGCTATTTTCTCACTCTTTTTAAATGTCTATCTTGTGTGTGTTATAAAATGTATAAACTACATTCAAACAATATGCAGATTACTAAATACACGAACAAGCATAGGGAAAGTAAATATCAGAAACCTTTTCTTTATGACGAGTAGTATGTGATGAAGAAAGTGCAGAGATTTTGGTTCAGTAGCTCTAGAGTGAGGCCCTAGAATGTGTATTTTTAATAGACATGTTTTATATATATTCATTCATTTTCATCTTTACAACAATTCTACTATTAGGTGGTGTAATATACTCAGGCAGGCATTATATTAATAACTGTCCCCATTGTACAGATGAGAAAACTGAGGCATAGAAAGTTTAGGTGATTCCCCCGAGTTTTCACAGCTAGTAAGTTGGGGAAGCAGAACTCAAATCCAGGCAGTCTGGACATATTCTCAATGACATATTCTCAAGAAGTTAGGAAACTGTGATTGACCAAAAATAAAGTTAAGCAGGAAAGACTGGAGAATTTAAGATCTCAGGTACAAGAGATGGCTGAGCATCCAGGAGGGTGCTTCATCAGTCTGGGTGACCCTTAAGGAAGGGTCATTCCACTCATGAGGGCCAACGTAGACTCAAAAAAGAAAATCCCTCATGTACATGAGTCACATTTGTTTAGCTTTGGGAGAGGAGACTATTCTCAAAAGACAAAGATAGGAAATAAGACACAAAGATTGCTTCAATAAAACATCACCCAACCAGAGCAGCTCGTTGTCATTTTTTTTTTTTAATGGAAGCCTTTTACCGTATGGAACTAATTATCGCCATCTGCCATTCCATACTTCTATTTCCTGTCTAGCAGCTCATTCTTCAAAAACTCAGTAGCTTCCTCTCTTTACATTTGTAAATGCTGTTGACTATGGATAAAATCCATGTTTACTTTCTATTCAGAACCCCATAGGAAAGCTTGTTTTAATCACCCACAGATGTTTCATTCAGTTCTGCTTAGCTTGGCACAGAACTTCAGAAGGAAATAAAAGAAAAATCTTTATTTTATATTTCAATTGTGGATTGTTACAGACTAAATAAAATGCCAAATTGTTATTGGAAACAACACAGCCACTGTAATAAGGATAGTCGACATCTTATTTTTACAATTATAATTTTTTCTGGCATTTGTTTAACTCAAGATGGTTTCCATATTTTACAAAGGGCTTTTCCCCCTTCTCTGAATGAAACTCCGTTGAAGCCATAGAACTTTGTAATTTATTTTCAATACATTCTTGTACATTTGAGAAAAATGGAAACTATTGCATGATTTATAGTGATTAGGCTCTTAAATACTTTTCACCCTTCTGGTGTCATGTTTTGATATGTGTTATCCTTTTGGATTCCTTTAAGCCAACTCCAAAGAGCATTTCGTACACATCTAGTATTATGTGAGTCAGTTCTTCCTTATTTCCCTTTCATTTTTGATTTCTTAACTAAAAAACATTAATGACATATAAACATTCACTGCAAATTACATTTACACTTTGCAATTATTAAATATAAGGGGAAAAGGCAGATTTCCTGGTTGAGCATTTCTATGAATTTTTGGTAAACTCTCTATCTCTAAAGCCTGTGACATGATTGCTAAATATCTCATTTCCTTACAATTCTACCCTTCCATTCAACCCAAAGCTAGCTCACCAGATTCACTGAAACCCAGAAATTTCTAATGAGATTCTTTTGAATTTCTTTTTATTTCACTAATGTCAAGAATCAAACTACAAAAAAAAAAGAATCAAACTATACTTTACCAGACTTAAGTCCAAAATTTCCCAAACGTTTGCTTCTTCCTAAGTCTAGTCATTCACATTGCTCCTTCAAAAAGCATTTTACTTAAATTATATTTACATGGCAGAACCCATTTTCAACTTTCTTCTCATCCAATGTGTTAAAATATCATGGGTATTAACTCTGTTTTGTTTTTTATTCAATATATGTGGTTCACATTGAAGAATAAAAAAATCTTCTCAAATAAAGATAGCCCCAGAATAAACCTACTGGCTTGAAAAGACATCCAGTTATGGTTCCTGATATAGTCTGGATGTGTTTCTCCATTCAACTTTCATACTGAAATGCAATCCCCAATGTTGGAGGTTGGGCCTTGTGGAAGGTGTATTATGCCATTCTGGCACTTCTATAAAGAAATACCTGAGACTGGGTGATTTATTTAAGAAAAAATATTTAATTGGCTGACAGTTCCACAGACTGTACAGGAAGCATGGCAGCATCTGCTTCGGGGGGTGGGAGTGGGAAGGTGGGGCACCCAGGAAACTTACAATTATGGTGGAAGGAGAAGGGGAAGCAAGCACTTCTTACATGGCCAGAGTGGGAGCCGGGGGGCAGGTGGTGCCACACACTTTTAAACAACCAGATCTCACCAGAACTCACTATCATGAGAACAGCACCAAGGTGGAAATCCACCACCATGATCCAATCACCTCCCACCAGGTCCCACCTCCCACACTGGGGACTACAATTTGATATGATATTTGGGCGGACACACAAATCCAAACCACATCAGGAGGTGTTTGGAACATGGGGGTGGGTTTCTCATGAATGGTTTAGCACCATCCCCCTTGGTACAGTCCTCCTGATGGTGAGTGCATTCTCGAGAGATCTGGTTGTTTAAAAGTGTGTAGCTTTTATATGACTGTAAGTTTCCTGGGGGCCTCCCCAGAAGCCCAGCAGATGCCAGCACCATGCTTGCTGTACAGCCTGATGAACTGTGACCCAATTAAACCTCTTTTCTTTATAAATTACCCAGCCTCATGTATTTTTTTGTAGCTATACAAGAACAGACTAATACAGTTCCTGATCATTGTTTCAATATACGTGTTAAAATTCTGGTTCGAACGTGCTTATTTTGCTCTACGTAATTTTATCTTGTTGCTCTTCTCCATATGTCTATTCAGAAAACCTCGAGGTCAAAGAACTTGTGTAATACTGCAGAAAAGAGTGCATACATGAAAGGGAAGGACTGAGATTGTGTCTAAGAGAAGCTACCAGATCAGATTTTTGAAGTCCATGTATGGAAGCAAAGAGTTTTCTTCGCACGGCCGTATTTTCCTCTGTCAGTGACAGCTCTTCAGAGAACAGCTCTGAACTCTGTGTTGATAGTGAGAAAGAATATTTACTTTCCCAAATTATTTGACCCTACCAGCTGTATACATTGGTGATCCAACATCAAAGACAATTAACAAATCCACTAAAGACACAAGGACACTTTTTGAAGTCAAAGATGTGCATATATTTTGTGTAACCAAGATCCTCTACCTTTAATTAATTAAAGCTATTGGTGGCTATGAATGGGTTTTTTAAATATTATTTTACAAGTCTTTCATTTCAGAGAGGGAAATAAAGCTTATTCATCCTTTGATATCCAGACACTGTAATCAAGACAACTGGGTTCCTACAGGTCAAAGACAACAAATTATAATTTACCACGCCATAAGAATAAACAAAACTTTAATTTATAATGTAGCTAAAGAGTTCTTCCTGTTGTAGAATTATGCCACGATTTACATGGTGATGACATCAAAGTCTTGTCCTCCAGACACACTTGTCCCCTTTACAGAAAGGGGAGAACCAGAGGACCCAATGCTCACCATTTCTCTTATGTAATATTGGGTGACCCTTTTACAAACAGCAAATACAGGCACTTAGTTGCTGAGAAATTATAGAGGGAATAAAAGCAGAGTGGTCAACTTTCTAAGGAGATTATAACTAAAATGAAAAGCAGAGGGGAAAATAAAAGTATTATACATATATTCCAGATAGCCTCTTCCCACACACACACAGCTACTGCTGTAGTTGCTGCTAGAGCCCCCATCAGTCTCTACAGTGCTTACCCAGCTTCTAGAGCCTTTGCCCAGTTTGCAGTGGGAGACATTCAGCCTCAATCCTTCCATTCCATTTGATTCCTTTAGAGGAGGGAGGAAGGAAGAGGGATAGGGATGGGTTCGAATTTTAAGATATTAGGACTCTGGATTCAGAAATAGCTTCAGGGAAGTTCAAGGTTAACCTTAATACCGTTTCAACTATTTCAACTACCTTACAGATACTAAGGAGAAAAGAGTGGTTATGTTTCTCTTCCAAGTTTTTTTTTTAGTGCTTTCTAGTTGATCCCAAGATTTCATTTTGATTAGCGTGGTAATACCAATGCACACACATTAACTAAAAAACTCAGAGTTCCATTGCTACTTAGGATGATGAATGCCATAAAAAGAATATTGCTCCCACTCTAACAACCACAAAAGAGTCAGATGATCTACAAAACTGTAACTATTCTTGAGCCCATCAGAGGGCTGAAATCATAACACAGCCAAGTAACCTGAATTCCAAAGAGGGACAAGCTTCCAAAGTTAGATTGCACACAAAGCTTTTTGCAGAACAGGGGAGACAGAGGTGGTCACCATTCAACTAGGCAAGAAAAAAAATCAGCCAAAATTTGAATGAATTCTTAAAGGGCAAGTGTGGGCTGGCATGTCAGTTTGGAAGAGCTAGGAGCCCCAGACACAGGGGAAGTTTCACTCACAATCTCATTTTCAACCTCAGTTTCATAAGCCTCCCCCTGGGTACACATACTGAAGACAAAGACAGGGACCAGAGCAGGAAACCTGAGAGAGCCATCCTTCAGGGACACATCTGCTGCTGATGGAGACAGGCACTGATGAAGACCCTTTCAAGCAGACACACTTGTCTGTGGAACTGGGCAGGAAATCTTGGGCCCAAGACTCTGCAATGATGCCAGACACAGGTCAGCTACTGCTAGGAGAGAGACAAAAAATTCTCTCCCACCTAAGACCAACCACAGATACAAGGCAGAATCCAGCTGACATAGAGAGGAGATGAAGGAATGCTGAGAAAACCCCAGTTTCGAGGCCCAGGCTTACAGGGCCTGCCTAAGACTGAGGTTGGAGCATTAGAAGAGAGAGTCCCCTCTGCCCCCACCCAAGCCCAAAACCAATTAAAAGCAACAGTAGTTTAACACTGGCAAGGCAAGAACGTGAAAAGAGACCCTCTGTGTTTCAGGCAAGCAAGGTAGAATGGGAACACTGAGAAAAGTCATCCAGTACTCCAGATCCCACTCTAAACTCAAGGGAATGGCAGCCATCACCAAGGGATTTGAAGCCTGTTCAACTCAGTCTCTTCATTTCTTCTCCATACAACGTCCAGCATTCAATAGAAAAGTACAAGACACACAAAAAAGCAAGATAAAGCATGCTATTGTCAAATGATTGACCAACAGGAGCAAACACAGAGATGACTTCGATGCTGAAACTACTGAACAGAGACTTTAAAATAACCATGATTACTGTGTTAAATGATCTAGTGAAAAAGTTAGACAACATGCATGAACAGATAGGAAATTTAAGCAGAGAGATAGAAACTATAAAAAGAGTCCAGTGGAAATGTTAGAAATTAAAACATTTTTAGAGATGAAAAATTCATTTGATAGGCTTATTAGCAGACAGGACACAGTGAATGTAAAGATAGATTAATAGAAATGTCCAAACTAAAACAGATAGAGAAAAAAGAATAAAAAGAAATTTTTTTTAAAAAAAAGTAGAGTTATGGGGCAAATCAAATGGCCTAAAGTACATGTAACTGAAGTTCAAGAATAGAGATAAATGGACAAGAATTTTCCAAAGTTAATGAAAAACAACAAACCACAGATCCAAGAATCCCAGAGAATCATAAGCAAGATTTTTTAAAGGAAAACAAAAATTAAAAACACTGATATATTGCATAGTCAAACTGCTGAAAAAATATTTAAGACAGGCAGAGAGAAAAAGAGACATTGCATTTAGAGGAAGAAAGTCAGAATCTAAAGTAGCATCACTGATTTCATTTAAAACCATAAAATTGTAACCCTCATATTGGGCAACTTAAATTTTATGTTAATATATGTTAACATAAAGTTTATGTTAATTTAACATATATTTTATGTTAAATATATGTTTCCTCATGTATTTTGTCTCCCTTATTTGACTATAGACATTAAGGAAAGAGACCTAGTCTTAACACTGTATTAATATTACATTTATCCTCTTCTACGTTGCTTGACAAAGCATGGGTATTCAATAAGCACTTCTGACTTTGGAGCAGATTCACTTTTTACATGATGTTTTTTTGCATAGGATCAGTAAACTTTTTCTTACAGGCCATACAAAGTCTTAAGATATAAAAGTACTTTTAGATTAGCTTTATGAAACTTTTAAAATTTATATTCTCTACCTTTTATTTTTCAGAAATAAAAATTTTTAAAAATGTGTGAAACTGGCTCTACATTTAGCAAAATGAGATCATGGAGCCTCCCCACTCTGATACTTCCTTTCTCCAGCATTTACATATTGAATTTTAGATAATATTGTTACCCACACAATGGGTGGGTTTTATCACTTGGTGGGTGACAGTCCAAAGACCACAACCAAGGAAGATTTAACAAAGGGATTTTATTACCTACAACAAGTAAGGAGGACAGCTGGGGCAGTTTCCCAAAGCAGTACCTCCCAAACAATGGTGAAAACAGCTTTCGTTAGGCTAGTTGGCTGAGCCATTGTATGCGGAGGCAGAGTAAAGGCAGAGACTGTGAAGTAGCTGATCATGCTTCTCCATATGTCACATGTGTAGGAAATGGCAGATAAGCTCCTTCCTGGGTGGGGTTTTTAGTATGGTAATGAGGAAAGTTTGCAAGGTTCATCTCCAACTCAGGCATCTCTGGACTCAACCAGTTTTTGTTCATCTAGAGCTGAGCTTCACTCTGGAACTTTCTGAAACTCAAGATGCAACAGTTACAAGTGGGTGCTTTTTCAGGGTGCATACCCAGAAACCTGGGGATCTTGGGTTACGATATCATATTCATCCACGTATTATTTTGTTATCTACAATTCTCCATGTGTAATTTGTCTTTTCCTCCACAAACAGATTGTCGATCCTTCAAAATAAGGTCTGTAATGTCTGTATTTTATATCTCATACACAATAGATGCATAACAAAATATTCGATTACTAATGTTTAAATAATAAAAATATCTAGGAATGTCCAGCTCTGACCTGCTACGTTTAGGTCCCAGGCCCAAGAAGAGGGAGCCTACAGTAAAAGATGTGGAGTCTATTGCTGAACTCGACCTTGACCTTCATCCACACTCTCCCCACTGGGCTCAGCTTCACCTTTCAGGCCTCACACACCTGTAGGTGGGGCCAGGTCTGAGGTTCCCTGACATATTTATCTCTCTGGTTCCACAACTATCATTTTATCCCCTTCTCATAAGCTTCATACCCAGTTCTAATTCCAGCCCCGGGAGTCAGGCTCTGGACAAGAAGTAATCTTGAAAGGTATGAAAACAAACAAATCTCTATATAAAGCCACAGTAAAAAGGTGATATGATTGGGTATGTAAACCATTCTTCTACTAGGATTATATTTAAGAGAAATGCAGCACATTTTCACACAACAAATATCTATGAAATCAAAGAACATAATCCCCAAATTATTAGTTTAGCAGAATGTTTAAATAAATGGAATGTTTAGCCTGCCAACTTCTCATACAAGTAGAATAATTATTCCACAAAAACGTCACACTCTAAAGCCTAGGATTTGCTGGTGTGCTCTTGCAAATACGTTTGCACCTAAGAAAATTCCAAGTATCGGAGCTTCAAAGATGAGAAACACTGAAGTGTCCAATCAATTTCTTTGACCCACCCAAGGTGTTACAATCTATTCTTGGTAGTTATGTTCTACTGAACATAATGGAAACACTGAATTAGGGAACACTGAACCATGGATCCCAGGAGAAATACAGTGTTGGGTTCCTGCAAACGTCGATCACAACATTTCTATCAATCAAGACATAACCTTGCTTTATGTGTTTGTTTAAATAAACCTTATTTAATATATTATTGATTCATTACCATTGAACTCAGAACTAAAGCACCTTAACTCCTACCTGAATAAAGCTTATCTAACACACGTATTTTCTCTGTAAGGCACTTCACAGCCTTCTGCTTAGGAATACTGGACACTACTTCAATACCAAGCTTCGGAGGAGGGAGGCATTTTAAACAGCAAAATCACTAGGAAATAGCACAAAAATGTGGAAAATATGGCACTAAGCAGACTGCAAATTTAAAAACACTTATTTACAAGAGCTGAAACAAGAAGACAGAGCGTTACCTTATTCAACATCATCTGGGAACATCCATGTCGGATAATTCAAATCCTTCATCACTCTACGCTTATCCACAAACGACTGCAAAAGCACCATAAGTACAGATTTGGGGGTTCTCAGGGATAAAGATTCTAGTGGGATGGCAGGAAAAACAACATTCTAATAGAGCTTTCTAAAAATGAAATGGGCCGACCCAGGAGAGGACTTTCCAGTCTTTGGCGTGGTTGTTTGTAATTCAGATCTGCCACTCCCAAATCAAATACACATCAGAAAATCTGGGTGGGAGGCTTGTTAAAAATACTCCAGTGTTTCTGACTTAGTAGATCTAGATGGGGCTCAGAATCTGTATTTTTATCAACAAATTTTTCATCACTCTACGCATGTCCACAAATGACTGCAAAGGCACCATGAGTACTGATTTGGGGGTTCTCAGGGATAAAGATTCTAGTGGGATGGCAGGAAAAACAACATTCTAATAGAGCTTTCTAAAAATGCAATGGGCCACCCCAGGAGAGGACTTCCCAATCTTTGGCGTGGTTGCAAAAAGGAAATTTTTGCAAATAGGCAATTTCACAAATACAGAATTTGTCATAATAAGCACAGACTTTATCTCCATCTCAAATGTCCTCCTCAATAGCCCAATTTGATACTTACCTTGCACATCCTCTGACATCTCTCAATTTTCTAACCATTGATCTTGTTACTTACTCATCAACACCCACCCACCCCCCTTGGCTCCAATGCACATTTTCATCCTTCCTAATTATAGAAGTGCTATGCTCAAGTTTGTACATTTCATTGTATGTAAACTTCATCTCAGTATTTATGTGACAAAATAAGTATAGTAAAATGTTAATAAGAGAATCTAGGTGGTGGGTATATGGGTGTTCACCGTAAAATTTTTTCAATTTTTTGTGTGTTTGAAAACATTCCTAATAAAATGGGAAAAGAGAAAGGAATCACATGTTCCAAAAACATTCTAAAAATATATTTAATGAAATGAAATTGAATCTTTCCCCAATCTTCCACCCAATGCCTCACTTCCCTTCATAATGTCTTCATCAGGTGGTCATATGGACAAGTGATTTCCAAATGCTGGTTCATGGACCAGCTGCCTCAGAATAACCCAGGTGCTGATAAAAATACAGGTTCTGAGCCACATCCAGACCTACTAAGTCAGAAACACTGGAGTGTTTTTAACAAGCCCCCCCACCCAGATTTTCTGATGTGTACCTGGTTTGGGAGTGACAGATCTGAATTACATACAACCACACCAAAGATTGGAAAGTCCTCTCCTGGGACAGCCCATTTAATTTTTAGAAAGCTCTATTCGAATATTGTTTTTCCTCCCATCCAACTGGAATCTGCATCCTTGAGGTCTTCCACTCATCTATTCTTTTTATTTTTGAGGCCATAGACTGAATCCCTCTTCCTCTTTATAATAATCACAGTTCTCATTATTATTATGTTTTTGTAGAGATGGGGTCTCACTACATTGCCCAGGCTGATCTCAAACTCCTGGACTCAAAAAATCCTCTGGCCTCAGCCTCCCAAAGTGCTGGGATTACAGGCATGAGCCCCCACACCCAGTCCACAGCTCTCATGATCAGTGCTGATTACATCGTATGACGGTACACTCTGTGCTACGCTCTGTGCACCCTCTCACGGTAGCCTTGTAGATGTCATGCCCCACCCCATCTTCCTACCCTTCCCAATACCAAGCAGTCAGAGCACCTTCACCTTCTGTGAAATCATGACATGACCTTCTAGTGTCTTCACCAACCTTTTCTGAAAACAGTCAAAAAGTAAACCTCAGACATTCTACTCTGCGTGAATGAATTTATCTAATCCTCTTTTTTTCCTTTTTTCTTTTTTTTTTTTTGAGACAAGAGTCTCACTCTGTCACCCAGGCTGGAGTGCAGTGCGGCGATGATCTCAGCTCACTGCAACCTCTGCCTCCCAGGTTCAAGCGATTCTCCCACCTCAGCCTTCCAAGTAGCTGGGACTACAGGCATGTGCCACCACGCCTGCCTAATTTTTGTATTTTTAGTAGAGCTGGGTTTCACTATGTTGACCAGGCTGGTCTCGAACTCCTGACCTCAGGTGATCCACCCGCCTCAGCCTCCCAAAGTGATGGAATTACAGGTGTGGGGCACCGCACCCAGCCTTAAAAAAAACAAACAAACAAACAAACAAACAAAAACCGCATCTCACTCTGTTGCCCAGGCTGGAGTGCAGTGGTGCAATCTCAACTCACTGCAGCCTCGACCTCCCAGGCTCAAGCGATCCTCTCGCCTCAGGCTGCCAAGCAGCTGGAACTACAGGCACATGCCAACCTGCCTGGCTAATTTTTGTATTTTTTGTAGAGACAAGGCTTCGCCACGTTACCCAGGCTGGTCTTGAACTCCTGGCCTCAAGTGATCCTCCCATCTCAGTCTTCCAAAGTGCTGGGATTACAGGCGTGAGCCACCGCCCCCAGCCTGATCTTCTTCTGAAAGTAGATCTTGACAGAAGTAGACACTAAACAACATAGAAAGGAGAGCCTGGAACCAGCTTGAAAATAACCATTGCCTACTTCACAGTTCTGCACAACACTGGCCCCATTTAAAGGGATATAATATGTTTCTCTATTCAGCTGAATAAAAGATTTCAAGTGATCTAGAAACCAGTTTCTACTATTTACAATTTAGACATGTTTGACTGAAATTTAAAATTAATCCTTTCAGCTGCCATATCCCATGAGCTAAAAAAAATTTGTATAATATCTCAGTGTAAAATAATGTCACCTTGAGGTCTGTTTAATTTTGCTTTTTTGAATAATATGTTCAAACATGCCTGCTAAATGCAGAACTTTAAACAAGCTGGACTGAAAGATTTTTTAATAAGATTTGGGGGATGAAATCACCAAGTCACCTGGTGTTTTTCAATAAAATTGAGACTTCTCAATTTTATAATTTTTAAATGAAGTATCATTGTACTCTGCTATGAATCAGATGGACACTAACTCTTTAGCAGCCTTTAGTCTAACCTTTACAAATGTTGGTATTCTGGGATGTGACACTTTTTTTATGAATGTGATGTCTGTGTTAATGTATTCATAATGTGTCTTGTTAATATAGCCATAATGTTTCTGGGATTATAGGTGTGAGCCACCACGCCCGGCCCCACTGGTAATTTTTAAATTGGTGTTTTCGAAATTTCGCGCATATTTAGCCACTGTTAGGTTGACCATAAAATTGCCATTTTTCTTGGCCAAAATGATTCAATCTAATGCTTACTTAATTTGGATTTTAAAAGGTAAAGCAGAAGTGCTGTCAGTTAGCAATTTTATTTCTTCTGCCTCCCATGGGAATAATTTTCAAATGTTTTCCTCTCTACTGTGAACTAAAGTATAATTTTCTACTTGTATGTTCTTTCTCATAATTTTGAAAACTTTAGACCAGATGAGATGGCTCATGCCTATAATCCCAACACTTTGGGAGGCTGAGGTAGGAGAATTGCTTGCGCCCAGAAGTTCAAGACCAGCCTGGGCAACATGGTGAGACTCTTTCTCTTAAAAAAAAAAATTAATAGCTGGATATAGTGGCATGCACCTATTGTCCTAGCCACTCAGGAGGCTGAAGCAAGAAGATCACTTGAGCCCAGGAGGTTGGGGCTGCAGTGAGCTGGGTTTGTACCACTGCCCTCCAGCCTGAGCAGCAGAGCAAGACGCTGCCACTAAATAAATAAATAAATAAACTTCTATCTATTTCCAAGACTATCTTGTCACCTTTTTGACTCAGTCATTCTGGAATAGCCAGCACCCATCCCAACTTTGGAAAACCACATGTTTACATGCAAAGTCAAGGATGACATTGAAAGACAGAAGAGAAATAAAGATATTTTGTATTCTTCTAAATATTCTTTAAATTCAAGTGACTTTTATAATTTTTATATAGAAAGTACTCAAAGTTATCTCATGATATGGCAGAGAGCCCTAAGGAATCCAGAAAAATTCAGCACCTGTAAAGATCAGAACTTGATGGTACAGAAAGAATTTTAAATAGTAAGTAAAATCTTTCCAAAAAGATGTTTACTTTTTGAATAGCATCCAAATATCACAAAGAGGATGTGGACAGAAGTTGCAGAAAAGAGTTCTATTTCTTTGTCGATATAAAAAATAAGAAATACTGCTTAATATACAAATGATAACTGCTTATGATGATGGCCATCCTAAATGCCCTGACTTGACCATTACTATGCATTTAAAAAAATATCACAGGCAGCTGGGCGCAGTGGCTCACACCTGTAATCCCAGCACTTTGGGAGGCCCAGGCAGGCAGATCACCTGAGGTCGGGAGTTCGAGACCAGCCTGACCAACACGGAGAAACCCCATCTCTACTAAAAATACAAAATTAGCCAGGCTTGGTGGTACGTGCCTGTAATTCCAGCTACTCAGGAGGCTGAGGCAGGAGAATCGCTTGAACCTGGGAGGTGGAGGTTGCAGTGAGCCGAGATCTCACCATTGCACTCCAGCCTGGGCAACAAACTGTGTCTCAAAAAAAAAAAATCACAGGTACCTCATAAATATGTACAAATATGATGAATCAATAAAACAAAATTTTTTTAAAAATACATCATCTAGAATAATTTATTATGAAATATTTTTTAACCAAGGCTCATGACTTACATTTTCCAATTTGGATTAAATATGTATTTTGAGTCTCCTGTCAGCTAATTCCTTACCAGAATTCACCAATATAAAATATTTTTCCCCTTCTGCGTTCCCTGCTACTGCCATTCACTCAGCCCTCAGGCTGCCTTATTTCATTAATTAGTTTTGATATGTACATTCCTGTCACCTATGTACACTCCTTAAGAAAAGAGAGTATGTCTCGACTATCTTTGTTTCTCCCGCAGGGTCTTGTACACTGGAAACATTCTTGTACACCAGATCTCTCTTTTTTGTTTAAATCAACTGTTTTTTCCCCTTGACTGATTTAATTACCCAAACCTGCATCTTCCCTCATCCATCTCTACTGCTATTTCCAGAAAGGCAATGGCCCAACAATATACAGTGGTCTAGGCACAGACACACAATAGTTTTATTTCAAATCTATAACTCAGGTGCTAAACAGATTCATGCACTTGAAGCAGCTGCGCTCCGTGTACTGTTCCCAGAATGTAAATAAGTACTGCGTTAAAAATTAATCAGGCATTTGCTCAAATACCTAATGGTCAATTCAGACATTTCAGGCTTCAACTTTAATAATACAAAAATATTTAATAATGTTAATCTTTCAGAACTGTGTCAATGGGATCATGGATGAGCTGACTCACTTCACTGAAGAAATTTACTCTCTGTAGAAAAATGTAAGCCTAGCAGATTCAAACTGTTTATACAAGATCTAAAAGAATCTCGGAGATATCTTTCAAATATGCATACAAAATATTTTCTGCCTTAATTCCAGTATATTACTTTTGAGTAGAGTGTGGACAGACTTCCAAGGCTCAAATATAAGGCTATTGTTTAGATACTATTTTAAAAGCACAATAATCACCTTAGTGATTGAAATAGTCTAGTTATTATCTGGATTTGGAATCAAGGGCCTAGGGTTGAATTCCTGGTTCTGTGACTACCTTATGTTGGGTGGACTTAGATAAGGCATTTAATCTCTCCTAGTGTGTTTTCTTATATCTAGAGTAAAGAAACTTCTGATACCTGTTTATCTATTTAAAATAGATATTTTGAAATCAAATTAGAGCAGAGTTCCCCGAACTTGGCACTGTTGGTGTTTGGGGCCAGATAATTCTTTGTTGTGATTCTGAGCATGGTACGATGTTTAGCAACAGGTCCGGCCTCTACCCACAATGCCAGTAGCACACATGCACACACATGCACACACACATACACACACACACTCCCCAGTTCAGTTATAACAGCCAAAAGTGTCTCCAGATGCTGCCAAATGCTGGGGTAGGGGGGAAGTGACACACACACCCATCCCTCTGCCCACTGAGAATGAATGAATTAAATGACTTATATGGAAACCTTCATTAATACATTGAATATATACTGATCACCTACTATATGCCACACACCGGCCAGGTCAAATCAGATGTGATTCATGCCCTCTAACAGAGCAGATGAATAAATCAGTGTTTGCGGTGACAGGAGTTTAGGAGCCCTTGGGGTCAGGAAGGGGGAAGGGAAGTGTAACATTAAGATATCAAAGAGTAGAAGCCACGGGAATTGGTGATTAAATGGATGCAGGGGAATAAGTAAAGGGAGGAGAGAAAAACAATTCTTACAACATCAACAACAGTTCATTATTATTTATTACCTAAGTCATAAGAATTTTTCCACAAAAACAGGGACATTTCCCAAAAGAAAGCTCATACCACATAAATGTTCATAAAAATAAATATTGACTTCACTGTGGCTGCTTTCATTTTAACCAGTGGCGAGACACACATAGACAAATGACTCCGTTCTTCCATTCCATTTGCACTTCTATCTCTAAATTCTCAAGACCAACAGAGGTTAGTTAGTCTCCATGCCATAGTTAGACTATCAAGGTCCACAAAGATTGTAGGAAGGGGGTGACGGACAACATGCATCACTCATGGGTTTTTTATTGCATCCACTGAAGAACACATTCTTTTAACATTGTCTAAGAGTTCTGTTAGATATCAACTTTGAAAACCCAAGTCAAATGCATTTGTGCCATCACCAAAAGAAAATAAGACCTAAACCAGGGTAAAAAACAGCCTTTCCTTCATGACCCTGGAGATGTATACCTTTTCAGAATATTATTTGCATGTGAGGTCCTCAACAGAGGTGACTCTATTACCTCTCATCCCTGGGGTACAGCAAGGCAACAGCTATCCCATTATCTCATGGCACTTTCTAGTTCGTGTGAAACCAGTAACGTGTAGTTTCAAAACACAGAACATCGCCTTCATCAGAGGAGAGCTAGTTAAAGGCTGCAAATGGGGCCCTTCGGCTCCTGGTCCTGCAGAGGTATTTGGAGGAGGTCCATGTGCCTAACCACATCAATTTCAGATGAAATTCTCATTGCAAATGTATATTACCCAACACCTCAAAATGTATGAAGGCCTTCCTGGTTTTTAGGGCTTACAAGCCCCCTGACAATAGAATTCTTTGTGGAAATATCAAAATTCGAGTAACAGAGACAATTTTTGAGAGGATCAAAAATAGAAACCATTATTGGAGTATAAAAACAATTTAGTTGCTTAAGAATCCATATTTCTAAGAAAAGCAGCTTTGTTAACTGACATGTGCTCAATAGGCAATTTTCCCCATTTAATTTTCACAAATAGATCACTCTGAAATGTATTTCCCCTAACAAAGACTGCACATTAACGACAAATGATACATCTTCAGATTTTAATTAATGTCAAGAGCTTTATTTTGCTTCCAAGCAACTTATAAGAGACATGTTATTAATATAATTTAATTTAAGGGGACAGGCATTTGTTTTCTATTTTTAAAAAGGTGGTTTGAAATTCTGGCCCTGTCAACATCATTTAAACATTCCTGTTCCATGCTTCAATATAATAAATTGAATCAGCATTTTAATTGTGCCCATGCTTTGTGGTTCCTGGCAGGACAAAAAGATTCTCTGTGAGTGCATGACTCCCCCCAAGAAAACCCCACTGAGTGATTAATTACTAGTCTGGAAGATATAAATATGTCTCTCAATAAAGACAGTATGGACTGCTGGAAGCTCTGGCCTTATACATCTCCATGGGGTGCCTTAACTAAGCAGACATCCTCTTAATTCAAACAAGATTCTGGCTCCAGCATTCACGGACGGCTCCCTCATCATACACTGTTCCTTTACTGAACAGCATATTTCTTTTAATTAGCATCATTTTGTGTATGTATAAGAATCAAAGGAAATCGGCTTTTATGTACAAATATATCAAATTTTCAAGGTGCCTCTGTTCCTTAAGAAAGAACTGAGGACAATAGTAAATAACCTTGCATTTTCAAAAAAGTACCATCTTTGTATAAATACATTTTAGGTTACACCCAGACATTACTCATGCTTCATTCTGAGTTAAAGGTTTGGCCAAAAGACCATAAATTTATAAACGAAAACACGAACCGGCAGGTCTATAAGTCTATTCCTAAGCCTCACACCTATTGTATGAACCGAGAAGCCTCATGATTGCTAGAAGGGAGAGGAGCTTAGACAAAGGACTCATTGCCACCTCCCCTTACTCCATATAGTAAAAACAAGAATTGATGGAATTCCTAGGACTGTTCCTACAAGGCCAGAATTAGGTAAGAAGAGTTTATACTAACCATTTAAACCAGAAATTGCAAGCAACGTCAACTAACTTGAAAATAAAGATTAACACAAGAAATCAATACTAGAAGTTGGCTTTTTTAAATTGGAGAATAATCACGTATAAATTTTTAGTCTAATACTTTGCATTAATAATCATGGCATTTATTACTACAGTTGAATAACCACATCCCAACACCTTTTCATTATGTTTAAAATGAGGGGGTGGGGACAGGGGAACAGGATTATCGTAAGTCATTTTGACCAGTCTAGAAATCCAGACATCAGGCCGGGCGCAGTGGTTCACGCCTGTAATCCCAGCACTTTGGGAGGCCAAGGTGGGTGGATCGCTTGAGTCCAGGAGTTCAAGACCAGCCTGGGTGACAGCAAAACCCCATGTCTACTAAAAATACAAAAATTAGCGGGTTGTGGTGGCACACACCTGTAGTCCCAGCTACTTGGGAGGCTGAAGTGGGAAGACTGCTTGAGCCTGGGAGGCAGAGGTTGCAGTGAGCTTAGACTGAAAAAAAAAAAAACAAACAAACAAGGAAATCCAGACATCATGTTCCTAACCATCCTATTTGAAAGAGGATGAAAGAAAGGTGTTCTAAAAAGCCAATATGCATTCTGCCATGGGAAAATATTACTTGTATACAGACTTTGACTCTCTTACTATTCATATCTTTACCTGGCCTTGCCAAAGATATTTTTGAGCAGGATCATCAAACATAAATGCAAGCATTAAATCAGTAAGCAAACATGAATCTGAATTGGAGTTCTGCAGTAGACTGCAAAAATGGCCATAATATTTAAGCTCCTCCCATCAAGAGGTAGAGTATATTTTCCCACCCCTTTAATCTGGGCTGATCTTATGGCTTGCTTTGACCAATAGAATGTGCACAAATGGAAGCATATCAACCCTGAGCTGAGGCCTTAGGAGACCCTACAGCTTCCATTCTCAAATTCTTGGAACTCTGTGCTCACCATGGGAACAAACAGAGTGGGCTGAAAGAGGTTCAGAGCCAATGTGGTAAAAGGTCCCAATCATCCCAGCTGTCCCAGATGTGGCTCTGATAAACCAGTCAGCCCACACAATCTATCAGTTAACTACAAGTACACAAGCAACCTCAGACAAGATTAACTAGGTTTGGCCCACACTAGAAGAACCACCCATCTGGCTGGGCGCGGTGGCTCACGCCTGTAATCTCAGTGCTTTGGGAGACCGAGGCAGGTGTATCACCTGAGGTCAGGAGTTCGAGACAAGCCTGACCAACATGGTGAAACCCTGTCTCTACTAAAAATACAAAAATGAGCCGGGCATGGAGGCACACACCTGTAATCCCAGCTACTCAGGAGGCTGAGGTAGGAGAATCACTTGAACCTGGGAGGCGGAGGTTGCAGTGAGCCAAGATCACACCACCACACTCCAGCCTGGGCGACAGAGCAAGACACCATCTCAAGGGAAAAACAAAAAAAAAGAAAAAAAGAACCACCCAGCTGAGCCCAGCCAAAATTGTCAACCTGCAATATTATGAGCTACATTAAATGGGTAGTTTTTTTAAACTATGAGTTTTGGGGTGGTTCATTATGCAGAAATAGAAAGCTAATATAGGTTCTATAACCTCATTACCCAATATTTCCAGGCTTTAAGCTCCAGTTTAAGTTTCCCATTATAGCCTTTTTCAGGTACTAGCATATATACTCTTTTGACCCATTTCCTTTTGAATTCTAATGCCACTTTTTCTGTAACAAAATTCAGCACTTAGCTAACCAATTCCCTATATGATTTTCTAAGGTGTATATAACCATTATGCTTCACATACAAATAGAGGCAGAGACCATGTTTTATGTTAATTTTTATTATCTAACACATAAGACACATAGTAGGTATTCAATAAATGCTTGGTTTGATGTGAAAGCAGCTAGAGTTTGCAATAAGAGTTTTAAACTTCATGTGCTAAACTTTTCTTATTTGTTACATGTAAATAATATTATCCTGTGTTACCACAGGGGAGATTGAGTAATTTTTAAACTTTTACACTCCTTTACAAATATAAAATAGAGTAAATTTTATAATAAGAAAGCAAAAAACAACTAGATAAAATTTAAAATTTCTGTATATAGCAAAAGTCACAAAAAAGCAATTAAAAGACAGTGACTGGAAGAAAGTACAGAGAAAAAAACGAAAAATCCATAATATACAAAGAGCTCCTATGAAGCAATGGAAAACTGAGAAAAAGATATAAACTTATGGTATTCAGAAGAACCAATGAAAAAACTGAAAAGATGCTTAATCTCACAGATAATCAGCAAAATGCAAATTAAAATAAAGTGTTTTATCATTTAGTAAAAAGACTAAAGAAGATATAATATTGGTGAGTATATATGGAAATGGGCCTTCTTGCATACTGTGGATAGGAATATAAACTGGCTTATAGGAGGAGAGTTGGGCAATATCTATCAAAATATTAATAGGTACATCACTTGTAACCCAAAAATATTTACCGAAACCTTGTTTTTAGTATTTAAAAACTGGAAAGCTAAGTATCCATCAATACTCTCATGGTATACATTGATTAATCTATATACAGAAAACTATGCAAAAATTTAAAAGAATGTGATGACGTCAGGAGCAGTGGCTCATGCCTGTAATCCCAACACTTTGGGAGGCCAAGGCAGGGGAATCACTTGAGTCCAGGAGTTCGAGACCACCCTGGCCAACATGGCAAAACTTCATCACTACAAAAAACATAAAAATTAGCCAGGCGTAATGGTGTACCCCCACAGTCCCAGCTACATGGGAGGCTGAGGTGGGAGAATTGGTTGAGCCCTGGAGGTCAAAGCTACAGTGAGCCGTTACTGTGCCACTGCACTCCAGCCTGAGCAACAGAGCAAGACCCTGTCTCAAAAAAAAAAAAAAAAAAAAAAGAATATGATGAATTTTATGTACTGACATGAAAGATCAAATAACATTAAGTTAAAAAGGCAGTTTGCCGGCCAATATGGTGAAACCCCATCTCTACTAAAAATACAAAAATTAGCCAGGTGTGGTGATGGGCGCCTGTAATCCCAGCTACTCAGGAGGCTGAGTCAGGAGAATCACTTGAACCTGGGAGGCGGAGCTTGTGGTGAGCCGAGATCGCGGCACTGCACTCCAGCCTGGGTGACAGAGTGAGACTCGGTTTCAAAAAAAAAAAAAAAAAAAAAAAAAAGGCAGTTTGCCAAAAAGTGTGCATAGTGTAATACCATTTTTTAAAAGAAGTATATAAATGCATAGAAAAAGGCTAGAATGATACACACCAAAATAATACTAATTTACTAATTATGTATTTGTATTATTAATAATGATTAGTAAATAGGACGGGTTGAGGGCCATTGGGAGAGTAAAGGAAGACAATAATTTTTATATGCTTATGCATTATTTGGATTTTTCACAAGCATGGATTTATGCGATATGTGTGTAACTTGTTTATACTGCACATACCTGGGCAGCAGAGGAGAGCAGAGCAAAGATGGCTTCAAAAAAGGAGCCAAAGAAAGAGCTGGGTCTTCACAGAGGAATTCTTCACTTTTATCCTGGTTCAGACCAGCCAGATGGTCGGCATTGCCATAGACATGAATATATATTAGCACCAGGTGCTCCTGCCACGTCTTCCTCTGTGGCTCAGGAGACACCGAGCAGTAAGCTGTGCTGGCGACCCTGTGTTCGGCCTCTCAGGAGCACGGAGGAGCCTCTCCCTGCAATCTGGAATCAAGATAAATAAGATGAGCTCCTGAAAGTTAAACTTGAAAAACAGCACAAACTGGATCAGAAGAGAGAGATGAGAGGTCACCTACATCATAATGAAGCTAGAAGTTACCAATTACCAGGCAACCTCCCCATGCCAAACACCGCGGACTTTCATACCGTATATCTCACTTCATCTTCACAACGCACCTAAGGTTGCTTATTATTATTGAAAGGAAAAATAAGGTTAGAGGAGTTCAAGAAAGTGGCAAGGGTTCCATACAGTCTACGTGGCCGTGCCAGGGATTTGAACTCAGTTCTGTTTAATTCCAATGCCTATGTTTTTGGGGTTTTTTTTGTTTGTTTTTGTTTTTTTTTTTGAGACAGAGTCTCACTCTGTCGCCCAGGCTGGAGTGCAGTGGCGCGATCTCAGCTCACTGCAAGCTCCATCTCCCGGGTTCACACTGTTCTCCTGCCTCAGCCTCCCGAGTAGCTGGGACTACAGGCGCCCGCCACCACACCCAGCTAATTTTTTGTATTTTTAGTAGAGACGGGGTTTCACTGTGTTAGCCAGGATGGTCTCGATCTCCTGACCTCATGATCCGCCCACCTCGGCCTCCCAAAGTGCTGGGATTACAGGCGTGAGCCACCACGCCCGGCCTCCAATGCCTATGTTCTCAACTAACATGGTATGCTCTCTCCCTTAACAGACACAGAAAGGCTTCAGGGTTGGCAATACTTGACTATATCCTTGCTCTATGTGTAACAGGATACAATGAATCAATTTTAAAAAATCATATTGCTTAGCCATGGAAGTACAGAGCCAAAAGCTTCAGAAAAGCACATGGTAATAGTGCCAACTCAAATGCTTCCCGGGCAATAGGGTCCCTGGCTCAAGCAACAGGCCAACTAAGCCACCTGACGTGTAGACAGAAAGCAAAGTTCTCAGCTTGCCAGGAAAAAGGCCAGTGGTTAGACTGTGGATTCACTGAGGTAATGTCATCCCAAGAAGCCTCTTAAGAAACAAACAGCTCATCCATGAGCCCCACGTGAGTTATTTTCCTATTTGGAATATCTATGGTCCAACTGGGATATTCCCACTGTCTCATGTTACCTTAGGCCTGTTTCGAATTCATACAGTCTACATGATTGACACAGGCAATGTCGAAGAACATGTTTCCCACAAAACTGTCACAAACCCAGGTCAACTGGATTCCCCTACAGACCCAGAGTTAATATATAAAGAACTAGGGCAGCCAGGTGCAGTGGCTCACACCTGTAATCCCAGCACTTTGCGGGGCTGAGGCGGGAGGATTGCTTGAGCTTAGGAGTTTGAGACCAGCCTGAACAATATGCAAAACCCCATATTTACCAAAAAAAAACAAAAATACAAAAAAATTAGCCAGGCATGGTGGCATGCACCTGTACTCCCAGCTACTCAGTAAGCTGAGGCGGGAGGATCACCTGAGCTCAGGAGGTCAAGGCTGCAGTGAGCTGTGAGCTGTGATCCTGCCACTGCACTCCAGCCTAGGTGACAGAGTGAGAACCTGTCTCAAAGAAAAAAAATGTTCTAGTAATTCACTTGTTGAAAAATACACAGTAAGTGCTTACTCTGGGTCAAGCACTGTGCTAATGAAGGAAATAATAAGGTAAATAAGTCAAGATTCCTGCCCTCAAGCTTTAGTAGGAGACACAGAAACAAATAATCACAATCCTAAAAGATGGAGATTGCAATAAAAGAATGCACAAAACACTATGGGAACACAGAGGATGGAGTAAGTAAGTTTGGCAGAGAAGGGAGAGATCTTCCTAAAACCACAGTCAGTTGGTGAGAGAGGGGATCACCCAAAAAATGAGGAGAGATCTTTAATAAATGCAAAATGAAGAGAGTAAAGATCTGCACCCAGTGAGGAAGTTTAGAATAGCTGAGATTATAACATACGTGCATCTCCAAGCCTCTGGCTGAGCCTGAAGTGATGAATCCTAAAAATCTACTTCCTCAAAACTCCACAAGCCTCTGAAAGACACAGAGAAACAGCCCCAATTGCTTAGGGAGCCAGCGCTGCAAGAAGTTTGCTCCCCTGAAGCTGTTGACAGTTTTGACTCTTAGGTGAATCTTTGGAGAGGATGCAAACAAAACTCTCTCGTGTGCATTTAAGAAGTTCTCCTGTCATAGCCTGGCGTGGTGGCTCACAACTCCCATCTCAGCACTTTGGGAGGCCAAGGCAGGGGGACTGTTTGAGCCCAGGAGTTCGAGACCAGCCTAGATAATGTAGTAACATCCTCTCTCTACAAAAAATTATGCAGGTGTAGTGGTGTATGCCAGTAGTCCTAGCTACTCAGGATGCCAAGGCAGGAGGATTGCTTTAGCCCAGGAGTTCAAGACCAGCCTGGACAACATAGTGAGATCCCATCCCTACAAAAAAAATTTTTTTTAATTAGCTGGGTGTGATGGCATATGCCTGTAGTCCCAGCTACTAGGGAGGCTGAGATGGGAGGATGGCTTCAGCCTGAGGGATTGAGGCTGCAGTGAGCTGTGAGCACACCACTGCAATCCAGCCTGGACCACAGAGAGAGACACTATCTCAAAAAACAAAGAACAAGAAGTTCACTGTCACTGCCATTTGAGAATGGAATGATCTGCACATCCACAAATGGAAAGAAATAGAATGAAGATTACAAAAATTTTATTTAGTATAAAGTTGAAGGGCACGATGGTAGGCCAAATAACGTGCCCCCAAAGATGTCCACAATCTTAATCCCTAAAACCTGTGAATACACTCCCTTACGTGGTAAAAGGGACTTTGCATATATGATTAAAGATCTCAAGAAGAAGGGAATGGGATATAGAAGCAGGGGCTGGAGCAATGCACTTTGAAGATGGGGAAGAGGCCATGAGCCAAGGAACACAGCTTCTACAAGCTAGAAAAGACAAGGAAACAGATTCTCCCGGGGACTCCCCCAGAAGGAACACAGCCCTGCCAAGACCTTGAGCCCCATACGACTTCTGGCCTCCAGAACTGTAAGAGAAAACATTTGTGTTCTTTTAGGCCACTAAATCTGTAGGAATCTATTGCAGTGCCGATAGGAAACTAACATGAGGGAGGGCGTTTTCTCCAAAGTCCTCAAAGCCCAAATAAATAGTGTTTTATCAATCCTCTCAACATCAGACAAAGGAGAAAGAAAATGGAGGAAGAGGGAGGTTAAAGTGAGTCATCCAAAATGAAAGCAAACAGCAGAGCAGGCCCAGGCATTTCATTTTGATGATTTATCAAAATTACAGAAAAAGGCCAGGCGCAGTGGCTCACGCCTGTAATCCCAGCACTTCAGGAGACTGAGGCGGGTGGATCATTTGAGGTCAGGAGTTCAAGACCAGCTCGCCAACATGGTGAAACCCTCTCTCTACTAAAAATACAAAAATTGGCTGGGCATGGTGGCACACACCTGTAGTCCCAGGTATTCAGTAGGCTGAGGCAGGAGAATCGCTTGAACCTGGGAGGCGAAGGTTGCAGTGAGCCGAGATCACGCCACTGCACTCCAGCGTGGGCAATGGAGCAAGACTCCATCTAAAAAAAAAAAAAAAAAAAAAAAAAAAAAAACACAGAAAAGAAGATGGGGCTCTGTATTTGGTTATCCTCTTTGCCAGTAGGATAACGTCTATCTCACAGAAGTGGTACAAACTGACTCCACAGCCAGGAGGGCCCGGCAAACTCCCAAGATTAAACAAACAACAACAAAAAAAGCATATTAGTATTAGCCACAGAGATGCAGAGAGAAAACTCTCTTGCCCTGCCACAGCAGTCAAAGTTTGTGCTAATGTTTGCGGGAGAAAAGGGAGAAAACAAAGTGAGGAAGAAAACATATCCGCATCATTCATATCCCCAAGCAAACAGACTCAGGACGCTGGGGAGTGCCAAATTTAGTTATTTGCAACTTTCCCCACTTGCAGATCCCTTGCAAATACATTCAAATGCAATCATCAATAACATCACCTCTTAAAATAAACATCTTTTCATTTATGAATTTTCTCCCCCGTTTTGACCATGTGAAACCTGCAAATTTAACATATGCCAGGAGAGGATGGTAACAAGGTAGACAATCTCCAGCTAAGAAATTTGAAAAAATATATAAATAAAGAATAGGGAGGGAAAAATCAACCTTTGATGAAATAATTGCTTCTGCTGTTATTTTTCACTATTACTTCAGAAATGTTCTCTCTCTCTCTTCCTTTCTTGTCCCTATAGCGAGGTGCCCTGCTGTTGTGCAGATGAAAGGTCCAGTCTCTTTAAAATTTCATGCAGAGCTCTTCACAACATTGAAGCTTTAAAGGCCCATGGCAAATTCAACATATTGTTACACTTGATGGAAGGAGATAAAAATTACATGCAGAATTTACTGTATATTCATTGTCTGGAAATACTATACAATTACAGCTTCCTCTATTTCACTAACAGATATGGACATGTATTCTGATTTCAATATTTAGAAATACAAAAGATGCACATGGAGTGAGTATTGTAGCAAAAATAAGAATGAAACTTGAATCTTCTGAGGTTAGATTAGGGTCCTAGGATGTGTGAACAGTTTTGTTCATAGTTTTCCTAAATTGCTTTAGATATGTGAAACATATTTAAAAGACAACAAAAGATACAAAGGGAATAAAAAAAGATTTCCTAAAACTTGTACATAGCATGGGGTTCTTTGCACTAAGTCGTCTTTATTTTTGTATCTCTATGAGAAGAATATGGGAATGGCTAGGCTTTTATTTTTATGTATAAAATTATCTCAAAAAAAAATGAATAGCAAGAACTGCAGACGTTGGAATGAAGAACACGATGACCTCAAAAGCAAGTTTGTCAGTCACTAGTCTTTGAGCTTTAACTGTCATAGGTAAGCCTTATTTTAAAGTTGTTTTTAAATTCACAAATTGGACATCACTAATTTTAAATCTAAAGTTTAGGTTTGTGCTTTATTGTAGCTGTTTTTATGTAGACCCATTTAGTCAAACTCATTCGTGTTCATTCATCCTCTTCTTTCAAACATTTATCAGATATCTACTACATGCCAGGCACACTGTTAATTATTTGGGATGAAAAAACAGGCCAGGTGTGGTGGCTCATGCCTGTAATCCCAGAACTTTGGGAGGCCGAGGCAGGCAGATCACTTGAGTTCAGAGTTCGAGACCAGCCTGGCCAACATAGCGAAACTCCATCTCTATCAAAAATACAAAACTTAGCCAGGCGTGGTAGCACCTGCCTATAATCCCAGCTACTTGGGAGGCAGAGGTGGGAGGATCACTTGACCCTGGGAGGTCAAGGCTGTAGTGAGCTGAGATTGTGCCACTGCCCTCCAGTCTGGGCAACAGAGCAAGACTCTGTCTCAAAAAAAAAAAGAATAAAAGAAAAAAAAACAGGAAGATGGGATCCCTGACTCCAGGGGGATTATAATAGGAGGAGGCGAACACAGCAAAGGGTTTGTGCAATAAAGCTTCAGGGGTCCTATGGAAGTAGATCTGGGAACATCATGGTGGCACAGAGAGTGTTTGATTTGTTCTTCCTGGAGGAAGAGGGGAAAAAAAACACATGCAGGGATCAGTCCTTGACTAGTGACTGGGAAACTGTCTAGGTGCTGATGGAAAAAACCAAGCCAGTGGTAGTAGCTGGGAAGGGGGATAGAGCTCAGAAAAATCAAGAATACAAAATGAATAGCACCTGGCTACTGAACAGAAAGCAGGAGCACAGGAGAGCAGGGTGAATCCCGGGTTTCTAATACTGGGATTGTCCACCGGCCCATTCACTGTTTCCAGTCATTTACTACCTAATACGTGCCAGGCACACTTCTAAAAATACTGGAGACACAACAGTAAACAAATCGCAGAAGAACCCAACTCCCTAAATGTAGAAAGGACAAATGGAAAACTAGTAAACAAACGAGGAAGCAATATTAAAATAGATAAGTGCTCTGAAGAAAATAAAACAGCAAGATGTGAGAAAGAGTAACTCGGGGAGGGCGGCTACTTTCTATTTGGGTGGTCAAGAGAGACTTCTCTAAAGAAGTGACCCTTGAGTCAAAACCTGAAGGCTGGAGAGGAGAAAGCCATGCAAAGACCCAGGGGGAAGGGCACTCTGGGAGAAGGAAGAACACGTGCAAAGCCTCTGAGGAAGGGACAAGGTTGGCAGGTTCAAGGAACTGAGAGAAGGCCGATTTGGCTATGGCACAGTGAGTGAGGGGAAGTTGCAGAGGCAGGCAAGCAGGGCTGGTCTCGATCTCCTGACCTCGTCAGATCACATAGGTTTTTACAGCCCAGGGAAGGAGCTTGGATTTTAAATATGATGGAGTTTAATGTTTATTTTAATTTTGAGACAGGGTCTTGCTCTGTCACCCAGGCTGGAGTGTGGTGGCACACTCATGGCTCACTGCAGCCTTGACCTCTTGGGCTCAAGCAATTCTCCCACCTCAGCCTTCTGAGTAGCTGGGACTACAAGTATGCACCACCATGTCCAGCTAATATTTTTATTTATTCTAGAGATAGAGTCTTGCTATGTTGCCCAGGTTAGAAATTGTGCAGGTTTTATGCAGCGGAGTAACAAGAGATCATTAGAGAAATAGATCAGCAAGTAAGAAGGAATCAGGCCAGTTTAGAGGCTTACAGTGACCTGGGCTGGAGATAACAGTGGCTTGGACCATCAACCAAGAAAGGCGGCAGTGCAGGTGAGAAAATTCAGACACTTTCAGAGTCCCTTTCAGACTGACAGGTCCTATTAAAGGATTGACAGTGCAGAGTGAGGAAAACAGATGAAATGGATCCCTAAGCTTTGGCTTCAGGGACTGAGTAGATAAAGCAATGAACATGGGGAAGATTCCAGGGCAGAAGCCAGGTAGGGGAGGGAGATCAAAAATGGTTTAGGACATGTTAGGTTTGAGACGCCTCTTATACATCAAAGTGGAGGTACCATGTGGGCAGTCAGTTATATGAGACTGAAACTCAGAGGAGAAGGCAGGGCTAGATAATCCTTTAGGAGTCTGTCGGTATATAGATGAAAAGTCATGGGACTGAATGAGATTAGCTGGGGAAAAGTGAATAGGTTAAGAGACCCCAGAGGCTCCCCCACACGCAGAGGTCAAGCAGAAAAGACTAAGATCCACAAAAGAGCCCAAGAAGCCACAGCCACCGAGGTAGGAGGGAAACCAGGAGAGAGTGTGATGTCACAAAAGCCAAAGGGACAAATAGTGTTTCAAGAAGGGGGAAGTGGTCAGCTACAGGGAAAGCACTTGAAAAGTCGAGGAATGTGAGGACATAGAAATAACCACTGGGGTGGAAATCACTGAGGTTGTTGGTGACATTAGAATTTCAGTGGAGTGGAGAGGACAGAAGATGGACAACCGTGTTAAGAGAATGAGAAGTAAGGAAGTAGAAACAGCTGGCATCAGCAACTTTTACGATTTAAATTTGCTGGTGAGGCCAGGCACCATGGCTCATGCCTATAATCTCAGCACTTTGACAGGTTGAGGTAGGAGGATCACATGAGCCCAGGAGTTTGAGACCACCCCTAGCAACATAGACAAACCCCATCTCTAAAAAAATAAAAAATAAATAAATAAATAGCCACCTATCACCCAGCTACTTGGGAGGCTGAGATGGGAGGAGCGCTTGAGCCTGGGAGATCAAGGCTGCAGTGAGCCGTGATCGCGCCACTGCACTCCAGCCTGGGTGACAGAGCGAGACCCTGTCTCAAAATAAAAATAAATAATAAAATTAAAACTAAACAAATCTATAAAGGACATTTCCAAGTTTAGGAAATTTGAATATAGACTATAAATTAAATGATATGATTGAATCCATGTGGATTTTCTTGGTTGTGACAATGATAATGTGGTCATGTAAGAAAATGTTCTTTTCTTAGACGGGGATGTAAGAATCCCTTATACCCCTGATAAGGGATGAAGTGACTTGCCATCTGCAACTTCCTGTCAAATGATTTTACAAAAAGACAAACACATTGATTGATTGATACAAATATGGCAAAATGTTAACCATAGGTGAATCCAGGAGAAGTTTCTTTAGATGTTTGTGCTATTCTTTCAACCTCTCTACAGATTTAAACTTGTTTCAAATAAAAATTGCATGGGGGTGGGGGAAGATGTAGATTATAGAAGGCTGAGACAGTCCTCTCCCCACTAGATGTCCCAAATCATAAACTCTGGAGACAAAACCCAGTAATCTGCTTTTTTTTTTTTTTTTTTTTGAGACAGAGTCTCACCCTGTTACCTAGGCTGGAGTGCAGTGGTACTATCCAGCTCACTGCAACCTCCACCTCCCAGGTTCAAGTGATTCTCCCACCTCAGCCTCCCAAGAAGCTGGGAATACAGGAGTCCACCACCATACCCAGGTAATTTTTGTATTTTTAGTAGAGACAGGGTTTCGCCATGTTGGCCAGGCTGGTCTCGAACTTCTGGACTCAAGTGATCTGCACACCTCAGCCTCTCAAAGTGCTGGGATTACAGGCGTGAGCCACTGCACCTGGCCAAGTAATCTGTTTTTTATAAAAGTTCCTAAATTTTTTTAGCAGCTAGACTCTGATTAGCAGCTAGAATTGTGACTGTATTCATTATCTATTGCCACATGCAAACCACACTAAAGCTTATTGGTGGCTTAAAACCACCACTATTTTATTTGCTTACACATTTATGGGTCAAGAATTTGAGTAGGACTCAGCGTAGCAGTGGCTCCATTAGGACTGGCGGACTCAAGACTGCCTAACTCATACGTGTGGCACTTTGGGGCTGGTTGTGCTCCACACAGCTTCTCCCTCCAGAAGAGCCTGGCCCTCTTTACATAACGGATGGGTCCCTTCCATGGGAACAGAAGCTACAAGACCTGGGCGTGGAAGTTGAGAACATTACTTCCATCCCTTTGTATTATTCAAACCAAGTTGCAGACCAGCCTAGATTCAAGGGGATAGAGAAAGAGATCATTCCTTTTTTTTTTTTTTTTTTTTTTTTTTTTTTGAGACAGAGTCTTGTTCTGTCACCAAGGCTGGAGTGCGTGGCTCACTGCAACCTCCGCCTCCCAGGTTCAAGTGATTCTCCTGCCTCAGCCTCCTGATTAGCTGGGATGCACACCACCACGCCCGGCTAAGTTTTTGTATTTTTAGTAGAGACAGGGTCTTACCATGTTGGCCAGGCTGGTCTCGAACTCCTTACCTCAAGCCATCTGCCTGCCTCAGCCTCCCAAAGTGCTGGGATGACGTGAGCTACTGTGCCCGGCCAAAAGAGACCATTTCTTGATGGGAAGAGCAACAATATCATGTTACAAAGGGGTGTGGATGCAGGGAGGCATTGATTCACTGGGAGCTGTTATGATGATGATCTACTACAGACACCCACTAAATTAGACTACCAAAGCCCCACCTTAAATAACACAAGCTTTTGTTATATCATAATTATCTTGTCCGTATGTAAATGGTTCCTCTAAAACTGCTTGAAAACAATTCATTTTCTTAATTTTATAGAGTCTTGCCATTTTCAGATGCTATTCATTTGCTCAATAGACCATAAGCATTACAGAAAATTCAATCTCTCGCACTGGTTCCCAGCCTCTGGGACCAAAATTTAGATCCCAGTAGTTCTGAAACTAAAGGACAATAGAAAAGATTTTAGAAGAGTCTCAGAAAGTTCTCACCAACCTCACAGACAAATGGAGAGCAGAGCTAAGATGGCTGCTCTCCCATCCTCATTCCTGCCCTCTGAGCGATGACAGAAGTGATACCTGCAAACTGTCCCCTTTGCAACTTCCCAAAGGTTCATTAGCTGCTCACCATGTCAACAGAGGTGGCCAGGCCTTTCACTCGGGATCTGGAATGGGAAGACGAGTGGTGGGTCAGGATGTCTCAAAGGAAATGGGAGTGAGTGAGTGAGAGAGAGAGAGAGAGAAGATAACACCCATTGCCCCAGCTCTTGCCCCCATGACCACAGCTTTTGAAGTAGTGGCATCCACATTCACATAGTTTTTATTGTGTGCATTTATGACATTTACTAAAGCAATAGATACACATACATACATCTCCTTGTCCAGACAGGCTCTTAACACAGAGTCCTCACTACGAAAAAATTCCACTCATGTCAGCTTCCAAATTCAAAAAGCAGTAGTTGATGCTACTCCTAACAAATTATTAAGTGCCTCTTGTTAATCTAGGCTCTATTTACATAAACCACCTTGGAGTGGTGCCCCCTGGAGTTGTGCAATGTGGCAGCCCTGAGTATCGGCGCTAGATTTTATACCCGAGTTCATCTGCCTCAAAAGCCTGAGCTACTTGCACTATGCTAAGCAGTGATGAAACCAAGAAGGTATGCATCTCTGATCACAGAAAGTGAAGAAAAAATTAGCTGAGTCAGGAGGCATCTGACTTTCTGGAGGGCTCCTGAAATCACCCACAGAGGAGGAGCGAGGCAGTGGAAATTGCATTACAGTTCCTTAGGCTCTAGTTGTGCCTGTTCTATCATGAATAAGCTATGTGGCCTTGAGAAGTCACTTCACTTCTCTGGGCCTCCATGTCCCACACTGTCATGGGAAGAGTTTCTATCAGAGCTGACAACTCTTAACACCAAGAGTGTTTATATGTGATCATGCATGTTTATATGAAGAGCAGTCTATCAAGTGTATGCACACTTTAAGGAAAGATATGTATGATGAAAATATCACCATCAATTTCAATATACTTTATTAGAACTAGTCGGTTTTTTGTGGGTTTTTTTTTTTTGAGATTAAAAAAAACACACACACACAGCAAGACTTTCTCTCTACAAAAATAAAACAATTAGCCAGGCATGGTGGTGCATGCCTGTAGTCCCAGCTACTCAGGAGGCTGAGATGGAAGGGTCACTTGAGCCCAGGAGTTCAAGGCTGTAGTGAGCTACAATCATGCCACTGAACTGCAGCCCAGGTGACTGAGCATGACCCGTCTCTTTAAAAGTAAATAAATAAATAAATAAATAAATAAATAAAACTTCACTTACATTATCTTAACTATGAGGCGTTTCCGCCATTTTTGTTGACTCTTTTCTACTCCATTATAGTCACTGAAAGGAATTATAGGAACTAAATGCCAATCAGTAGTTTTATTATACAATAGTACAAATTATTACATCTCTAACACCATTTATAAATATCAATATCTAAGCAGCAAGCAGTGTATGTATCTTAAACCATCTATAGATGAGTGTAGTGTGTGTGTGTATGTACTTGTGAGTGGCCTTTTCATGAACTTTCCAAATTTGATCATTGATTAAGATGCCCAGAGATAATCAGTTTAGGCAAAATCAAATGTTATACTTGGTCATAATCAGTAGTGACCATATACTAAAATAATATGATATGGAAAGTGTTTTGTGAATTGTATAAGATTATATATGCCCACGTGCTATTATGAAATTTAGCTAAGTGCTAAATGGCTCCAATGTTTAGCTGATGGATATATCTTTGAAATGTTAAAATTCCAGATGAAAGACAATCGAATAGAAGACAAATTTATCTCTAAAAATAACGTAGATATGATCTGAAGGTGTGATGAATTTTCTAATAAGTAATAATGGATGCTGGCTTTTATCAAATAACAATGAGGTCCCAAGCAGAGCTAAAGGCTTTACCTTCATCAAATACTCTTAATTCTCACAACTGGTTTTGCCACCTCAAATTTCCCACTACTTAGCACATACAGAAACTGAGTTTGTCCCACTGCTGAATTCCTAGAGAGACAGGGCCAAAGGGATTCTCAGAACTTTTTTTTTTTGAGAGAGAGTCTTGCTTTGTTATCCAGGCTGGAGTGTAGTGCCGTGATCTTGGCTCACTGCAACCTCCGCCTCCTGGGTTCAAACAATTCCCCTGCCTTAGCCTCCCAAATTGCTGGGATTACAGGCACCTGCCACCACACTCGGCTAATTTTTTTGTATTTTTAGTAGGAACAGGGTTTCACCACGTTGGCCAGGCTAGTCTCGAACTCCTGACCTCAAGTGATCCACCCTCCTCGGCCTCCCAAAGTGCTGGCATTACAGGGGTGAGCCACCGCACCTGGCCAACATCTCAGAACATCTGTCTGAGAGGCAGACACATCAGGGAGGTTCTGCCTAGGAAATAGGTGATCTCCCCATTATAGGGATGAAGACACTGAGCCTTGAAGCATTAACCAACTTAACCAAGGTCCCACAGCAGGTAAAACCTGAAGCCACAAAACCCCCAAAGCTAGATTTTACTCACTCTACTCCAGTGCCTGGCTGTAAGGGAAAGTTTATCAAAAATCTTGCCATCAGTAAATGAAAAATTCAAGGAACAACAACTTTTAAAATACCCAGACTTCCTTAAAATAGCCTTTTGAGAAAGCAAAAACATTTATGTTGTTTTCAGTTGCTGAACTTGGAAAACAATGCTGTTGTCATTTTTTCAGCTCAGGAATCAGGCAGTTTTAAGCCTGAATTGCTCAAATATCCCATGGGGTCCTTCGCTACCTGATTTTTCCCAAATGATTCCTTGTTCTTATTAGTAAAATATTAAGATTAACAGCTCTGCCCCATATGAAGCTAACAACAGAAAGATATTAAGTAACTGATATATTCTGCAAAAATAATATTCACATACAAATACTTACACAAAATTATCATTGAATTGGAGAGGTGCGACTGAATAGGTACTGTATTCGAAAGTCTCCTTGCAGTTCATCAGATAATAAAGAACACACACCAGAAGAATCACAGAAATAGAACGTACCCTCGAGTTACATCACAAGGAGAAAAAAAAAATCTCCCTAGATAAGAAATTCAGGTTTATTTTATCTTAAATCAGACCAAGGGGATTTAGGTTGCTTTTTTAATCTACTTGTGCATAACGATCTCTCAGATTAATCATACTGTTCAATAGAATATTATTATTAATTAGACATGTCAGCGCTTCAGGCAGAAAATTACTGGGAAGTAAAAAGGTCTATATTCCAAAGGCTCATAAGAGAAAGATTTCCATTTCTATCACGGCACATCTCTTTCAGTTCCAATTCTCAGTGGAAATTCCTCAACGAATTCAGTCCTTGTAACAATAACATTTCGAAGTGTTTCCCATTTAAAAAATAGCTGAACTCGAGTTTGCCTTGTAAGATATTTTCTATGTTATTGGTAAGCCAATTAAATTTTTTAGGGCACATAGTTTTAAGGAAAGTCCTTCAGTGTTCCCCAGATTGTCATCATCTCTCATTAGGAGGTCTTAGACAAGACTGAGGCACAGAGGAGAACAATGGGGTCATCAGTTTTATCCCATGGGCTGGCGTCCTCTAAAATGTTCTCATTTCCATCCTGTCGGCTCTTACAGGTCACTGCTGCTTCCTCCTCATCCCCATAAGCCCCATGTAGTACACCTGTGCCACTCTAGCCACATGGGAAAATGTTACTGGTCCCCCAGTAGGCCAGGATTCCATGGGGCTCTCTCGGACACCCACCGACATTTCTTTTGATCCCACCCTGTGCTGCAGGCAAGACACTTCTAAAATCATCTTGCTTTCCAGGGGTCCAACATAACAGCAAGGGTGCAGGTATCCTTTTGTCCCCATTTCTCAAACATAATTTGGTCATATTGTCTATCAACCCTCATCCTCCATCCTCTCCTCCATCTTTAACCTCCTCTGTGTAAACATTCAAGGAAATGACTGAGCCTTTTAACAGTAAAAAGTAAAGACTAGCAGAGCCAAACTCCCTCAACTTCTGGCATGCCTGCCAATGAGTTTTCCCAGCTGTAAAAAGCTCATCTCTTCTGTATCTCATCTCCACCCTCCTCTTAAGGAACCTCCCTCCACCCATTTCCTTTTTCCTCTGTATCTTCCTCCTGTCTCTTAACTCTTCCTCTGCAGCTTATACAATAGATATGTGGCTGTCATTACAATACGAAGCATCAACAATCATAAGAACTACCACAAAACCATCCCTTGACATGTTTATTTTTTTGAGAAGGGTACCTTGCTATGTTGCCCAGGCTGGTCATGAACTCCTGGGTTCAAGTGACTCTCCTACCTCAACCTCCCAAGTAGTGGCGGATTACAGGCATGCACCACCACGCCTGGCCTCCCTTGACCAGTTTAACTCTTACCTTCCCTCCATAGCTAAGCTTCTTTGAAAAACAGTGAGGCAAAGAATTTCCAGACAACGGCCATGGGTATAGACCCTGGGATGGAAAATAACACAGCCCTTCAAAAAAACATAAAGCTTTGGGTGAGCAAAAAAGTAATGAGCAGGTGGAGGGAACTGACAAACACTAGACAACACTGGTCGTATGAGCCATGGAGGATTTCAACCTACTTCATGGATTTGTTTTGAAGATTAAATAAGCGTATGTATATTTAGTGCTTTGTGCTGGTAATAAAATAAAATATTATTATTTTAAAATATATGACCTTTGGCCAGGCGCGGTGGCTCATGCCTTAATCCCAGCATTTTGGAAAGGTGAGGCAGGCAGATCACTTGAGGTGAGGAGTTCGAGACCAGCCTGGCCAACATGGTGAAACCCTGTCTCTACTAAAGATACAAAATATTAACCAGTCCTGGTGGTGGGCACATGTAATCCCAGCTACTCGGGAGGCTGAGACATGAAAATCGCTTGAACCCAGGAGGCAGAAGTTGCAGTGAGCCGAGATCATGCCACTGCACTCCAGCCTGGGCAACAGAGCGAGACTCCATCTCAAAAATAAAATAAAAATAAATTAAATAGGCAGATGCCACTGCCACCAGGAGCCCCATACTATCAGCCATGGTCAACCCCACCGTGTTCTTCGAGATGGCCATCGACAGCAAGCCCTTAAGCCACATTTCCTTCTAGCTGTTTGCAGACAAGCTTCCAAAGACAGCAGAAAACTTTCATGCTCTGAGCACTGGAGAGAAAGGATTTGGTTATAAGGGTTCCTGTTTTCACAGAATTATTCCAGGGTTTATGTGTCAGGGTGGTGGTTTCACATGCCATAATGGCACTGGTGGCAAGTCCATCTACGGGGAGAAACTTGATGATGAGAACTTCATCCTAAAGCATACATGTCCTGGCACCTTGTCCATGGCAAATGCTGGACCCAACACAAACGGTTCCCGGTTTTTCATCTGCACTGCCAAGACAGTGGTTGGACAAAAGCATGTGGTCTCCAGCAAGGTGAAAGAAGGCATGAATATTGTGGGGGCCATGGAGCACTTTGGGTCCAGGAATGGCAAGACCAGCAAGATGATCACCACTGCTGACTGTGGACAACTCGAATACATTTGACTTGTGTTTTATCTTAACCAGCAGACCACTCCTTCTGCAGCTCAGGAGAGTACCCTCCACCCCATTTGTTTGCAGTATCCTATCATCTTTGTTCTCTCGCTGCAGTTCCCTTTGGGTTCCATGTTTTCTTTCTTCCCTTCCATGCCTGGCTGGATTGCAGAGTTAAGTTTTGAAATAAAACTTAAGTAAATGATTATGAAATAAAAACTAAATAACAAAAAAAAAAATATATGACCTTACCTCTCTTCTGACTTCATTAGGGCACCCTCCAAGGCTGCAGAAGTAAAAAATCTCTCGGCTACTTGGCTTGAAGTCTAATTAATGATGCAGGATAAAGATGAAATCCCTCAACTCTACATACGGGGCTCAGTGTTTGGAAATAGAAATGGATATACACTCAACATGCACTATACATAAATAGGCAAAAATAAGAAAAAACGAAACCTGCTCTGAAGTGCCTATTCTGGCAGATGGAGGCTGGGTATTATGGAGTGACAAAATGGGCTACAATTTGTCAACAATGACTCAGTCTCGCAGGGAAATTAATTCAAAATATAATCCTGGACTGGGGAGAAAATGCTAAAAAGAACAACATTGGGAGAAGTGATGACATTTGAATATGCACTGCAGATGACACAGAAGCAATGTATCAGTGTTAAGCTTCATGAACTTGATGTGATTATGGAAGAGAATGACCTTGTTCTTAAAAATATACACACAGAAAGACTAAAGGGAAAAAGAGGCATTATGTATGCAACCTACTCTCAAATGGTTCAAAAATTAGTAATACGTGCACATATAAAGATAGAGAATGCTAACGTGTAAGTGGAAAGTTGGTATATCTAAGCAAAGGGTATAGGGGAGTTCTTTGTACTGTTTTTGCAACATTTATGTTCAAAGGCTAGACCCTGAGCTGTCCTCCAGGCCCTCAGTGCCCCTGTTGCCTCTTGAGAGATGGCTCTTTCTCTTCTGGCCACCTGCTGAAGTCCTCACCTGGTGGAACTTGTGGTCTGTTCTCTTGCGACTGTTGGAGTCCTGGGGATTCCCCATGTTTGGAGACTTGGCCCCATCTCAGCCCTGGCTTCTTGTGTCTGGATCATATAAAAGGAGCCTTGAGAAGCAGAAGTCCTTTTTCTCTCTCTACAAAGTCTGGCTCTCAAAACTACTATCTCACTGTGACTTCCAAAAGCTTAATGTGGTAGCCAAAACTTAGCAGTGACTTGGTTGTTCGGCTGTTTCACCTTTCCCCTGACACTGAAACCTGTGCTTCAGTGAGGGGTAGGCCCCAGGGTATCTTGGTTTACCGGAGTAAAAAAACACATCCACTTAACGTTTGCATAAAGGTAGCTCTTACATATATTTTCCATTTAGACAATTTAATTAGTCCCAATCTGTATTTTATACTTCTCCACTTTATTTTCTACTCTAGGTGACAGAATCACAGTTAACATTCTGAGAGTAAAAGCCCTCAAGATTTTGATAGTCATCAAGTACAATCAAAAATGGCTATACTTGGCCAGGCGCAGTGGTTCATACCTGTAATCCCTGCACTTGAGGAGGTCAAGGCAAGTGGACCACTGAAGGTTGGGAGTTTGAGACCAGCCTGTTCAACATGGTGAAACCCTGTCTCTACTAAAAATACAAAAATTAGTCAGGCATGATGGTGGGCACCCATAATCCCAGCTACTCGGGAGGCTGAGGCAGGAGAATTGCTTGAATCCAGGAGGCAGAGGTGGCAGTGAGCTGAGGTCACACCATTGAACTCCAGCCTGGGCAACAGAGCAAGACTCCATCTCAAATCCCTCCCCCACAAAAAAATGGCTATATTAATTATAAAATGCAAGTTGAAATAGAAGAAAGGAGTGCATTTTAGACATGCAGATTTTAACTACTGTCTCTAAATGATAAATTTTACTACTCTCTCTAAATGATACGGTGATTCCTTATATAAAGTTTTCATTTAAAAAATTCTACCTTGTCTGTACATTTTACTCACTTTCACAATAATTAAGATGTAGTATAAGCCACAGCTATTGCACCAAAGCAAAGCATAAAATTGTAGCGTGAGTCTGTGGACCTGACCTTCCCCCCTCTTCCACCCACAATAATAGAATCAGGATTAAAATATTCATTTCCTGCATAAACTAAATGATCATGACAGTCCTCAATGTGTATGGAAACTGTCTAGTGTTCAACAATTATAAATAGCCTAGGAAGAATTTGATGTGGCAAAATTATTAAAAATGTACATAAAGAAGTTCAGCTGCCCCAAGGAAACCCACAGCTCTCCACAGTGAAAGCAGATCTGTGAGGCTTTCATATGTTAGGATCCTGGTTAGCTATAAAGTCACAACGGGGGCCTGGACACTGAGAGAAGGCAGGAGCAGGAAGACAACTTCCCTGCAACATGTGTGGGTCTTCACCTCTCTAGCCACTCTTCTGATGACCACATAAGGACCACGATATATGCATATTTTTAAGTGTCCTTTTAGGCTTACAAATCCCAGAGGCAAAGAGAAAACTAAAAAGAATTTAAAACCCTTTTATTTTTGGAGTAATAAATTTTGGGGTCTTTGATTTCCTTGAAATACTTTAAAAAAAAAGAAAAGATGACTTTGCTTGACTCATATTAGGTGTGCTATTAATGTTGCTAAAAAAGCATTTATCCTTTGAGCACTGTAGATGCTTCTAGAAAAATCGACTTAATAAAGATATAGAAGAAATTTTTCCTTTAACTTGAAATATTCCACGGCCTCTCTTTTTGTATCCTACTCACATGTATAATTTTATGTAAGTTTACTGAATGTTTTTCTTATGAAGTACATAAGGCCTGAAAAATCTTATAGAGCAAATAAAAATTCTCTTCCTTTAAAACTAATGTCCCCCAAAAAAGCAGTCCAATATTCCCCAAATGATCATTTTTTTCATAAAGAACAAATTGTGGAAGTTTTTACTGAAAAATTTTTATTATTTTTTGAGTGACTCAGAATAAAGAGTTATAATGAAATTTTCTTGGAGCTTTAACGTTGTAATTTATGATGACTCTAAAAATATACCTATGTATATTAAGTCTGTATTTTACAGGATTATGTATTTTAAATTATACACAAAATAGACACATGTGCATACCCTAAGATTATTAAACTTTACAAATCTATATGTATTTTCTTTTTTTTTTTATAAAATTTCCTGGTTTTGTATTCATACTATACCTGATCATAAGGTAACCCAAAACACATTTACTTTAATAACTTTTACACATTCATAAATATTTTTAAACCCCATAAATGTTTAACATTAGTATAGTATATCAAAGTACCATTCTTTTCTCTGTAAATAAATCATTTCTAATCTAAAGACTTAGAAGGAGTGGGGAGAGATGTCAAACAACACATATCCTTCTGGCCAGGGAATCAAAAGGCATTCCCAGACATTAACTTTTCTCTCCAAATATGAAAAACATATTAAATATATATCTTATAATAAGATGTTTTCCTCATGTTTCCTTTGAGTAAAGTCTGTTTAGTGCATTCCTCTTCCCATTGTGCTATGAAATTCTTGGTCAACTTTGTCATTTCTCCCTCTGCCTGCTGGAAGAAAGCCAAAATCACTGCGATATCATTCACTCAACCAAGACTAACCACGTTAGGTACAGGCAAAAAAGAGCTATAATGCAAAAGAAAAATGAAAAATATATATATAAATTATACATAGGTACACACATACACACACACACACACACACACACACACGCACACTGCCCATTACACTACTTCTAAAGAAAAACAGATAAGAAGGAAAAGAAGACAGGCTGTGAAAACAGACATAAGGCATTCATAGGATTGAAATGAACTTTCAGCACGGCTCAATGTTCTACACTTTAAATTTTTTTTTTAAATTCATGTGGCCATCTGTATCTGTAATTAGGAGTGAAACCATAAGGGGTTTTTCAAGTGAACCTTTCCTAAAGCTACAAACTGTCATGGTGCTTAAAGGAGTGGGTGCCAAATGACTTGTATGTTTCTGAGCAGCCATATCGCAACAAACAGCGCGTGTGGGTGGCCACGTTGCTTATATTTGAGGTATGCACGTTAGCGGTATTAGTTACACTTACATCTCACTAACACAGAAAGTCCTCATATTACTTCTATGATATCTTTCTCACATCTTTTTGCTATGTCTGTCACCAACTGATATGCTATGTCAACTGGATATGTCTGGAGCTGTCAATAATTTTTCTGTATAAACATCCTCTTTGAATCAATCTTTTGCCACCTGAATTGTTCCACCTCATTTCTTTTGAGCAGCACTAACTCCTTCAAGAGGACAACCACCACTAAAAACATGATATCGAAGCAATCATTCGTTCTGTGCACACATTTTAATTTCATGCCCTACAGGGGGGAATCACTATCAGCCTTAAGCAAAAATTGAGTCTTTAATGCTTTATTGTTTTACACAATTTATCTTTCAAATAGTCTATTAGCTCTTTATAAAAAAAAAAAAGAAGAAGAAAGAAAGGAAAGAAGGGAAAGAAGAGAAAGGAGGGAAGGGGGAAGGGAGGGAGGGAGGGAGGGAGGAAGGAAGTTAGTTGGTACTGGGGATTTAAGGGGCATCCAGCCCCCAAATCTGAAGCTACAAATATTTTACCAACTGTATTTTTATGAAAACAAAGTGAATTTGTCAAATGTCTCCCCCTTCGCTTGCATATTCCATTGTTATCCCAGCACACTGAGACCTAACAGGTTAAGCCAACCCTGTTGTGATCACCAGAAGAGAGAGAAGCATTGTGTTTTTTGATATCACAGATTTAAGATGGGTTTTGCAGTGTGGCCTATAATGTATATCTCACAGAAAAAAAAAAAGACAAAAGATGTGGGGGTGAGAGGCAGTGGGAAGCAGTGAAGAATAAAAAATAATATGAGCAGGAGAATGTATGAATGTGTATATATGATCAGAACTGGTCTCAAGTCTATTATGTGATTTTTGTTTTCCTTTGACACAGGCATTATTTTCTCATTGGCAGGAGCCTCCAGTGAAATGCTGGTCTCTTCCTTTTCCCTGTATACGTATTAAGGGTCTAAGATCATGAGTCAGTGAGGACAAGCCGCCTCAGTCAATTAACAGGAGCATAGCTACACTAAGTCCTGCAATTAGAAGCTCTGACTTAGAAGCTGGAGAAGCAGAGAGTGCTGAGCGATGCTGAAAAGTCACTGCCCAGAAAAATTTAAGAAACTTTCCAAATCACCCACTCGTAGAACTTCCTTTTTCAATGGGACATTTTTATATATTTTTAAAAGTATGCATGTAGAGTTAAGTAAAGCGCTTCTTCCAATAAAGACATTTTTTGAAAAATTCTATTTACAGCCCAGACTTTCCTGCCCTCTTGTGGAGAAAATACAGAGCTCTCTATTCATATAAATAGGATGGCTTTTTAAAACTTGCAGCTGGCTTTTTCAATGGTACGTGTGATTTACTGTCATGTTTGGATCCCCTGATATTCACAGAACTTTACTAGCTATAAAATCAGAATAACAAAGTAGAGCTAAATAGGTATTATACCGGAAGAAACCATCTAATTCCAGACAAGAAAAAATTGCATTGATTAGGATCTGTTTGTTTGTTTGTTTGCTGGGAGGCAGGGAAGGGGAGGGAAAGTGAGAGGGAGAAAGTGATTCGTTTTTAATAGTACTTAGATTTATAAATAAATATATTCAAAATAACTAGCAAAAGAGAGAGGAAGAAAGAGACAGAGAGTTTTCAAAGTGGCCATCAGAAAGCTCTGGTCCTGTTTCCATCTTTCCGCCCAGAGAATGGACCAGTGTCTCTCTCTTGTGGGGCTGCCACTGCACAGTGCCACCTGGACAGGACCAGCCTGGGACACAGAACACACGAATCCCATCGGCAACTCTCATGAAATCACAGAATTCCCAAATTGCCGTAGGTTGTTTTATTTTGTTTTCTTTTGTGACTGTTGCCCAGGCTGGAGTACAAAGGCACGATCATTGCTCACTGCAGCCTCAATCTCCTGGGCTCAAGCAATCCTCTTGCCTCAGCCTCCCAAGTAGCTGGGACTAGAGGCATGTGCCACTATGCCTGGTTAATTTTTTAATTTTTTTGTAGAGATAAGGTCTCAGTTTGTTGCCCAGGCTTGTCTCAAATTCCTGGGCTCAAGCGATCCTCCTGCCTCAGCCTCCAAAAGTGCTGGGATTACAGACATGAGCACCGTGCATGGCCTGCTTTGTTTTTTTAAGAAAGTTGGTTTAAGTGGGTTTAAATTGACCCCAGGAGGCAGGGGCTGGGGGTCCTGAGCTGCACATTCAACACCCAGCTCCAATCAGTGGCCAACTTATACGTGATTTAGGCATAAATTTGTTTTGGCCGTCCACCAAAAGATGCTACATTTCATTCTGATTGTTACCTGTTCTGAAGTTATCATATGAAAAGTGCTACAGTAGGCTGGGCGGCGTGGTGGCTCATGCCTGTAATCCTAGCACTTTGGGAGGCTGGGGTGGGCAGATCACAAGGTCAGGAGTTCGAGACCAGCCTGACCAACATGGTGAAACCCCGTCACTACTAAAAATACGAAAATTAGCCAGGTGTGGTGGCATGTCCCTGTAATCCCAGCTATTTGGGAGGCTGAGGCAGGAGAATGGCTTGAATCCGGGAGGTGGAGGTTGCAGTGAGCCAAGATCAAACCACCACACTCCAGCCTGGGTAACAGAGCGAGACTCCATCTCAAAAAAAAAAAAAAAAAGAAAAGAAAAAGAAAAGAAAAGGGCTAGGGTAGAATCCAACGTGTTTTTTTAATGGTTTTATAATGGGGGGGAGGAGAAAAATTCATGATCTTAAGTAAAATTATTATGGAGAAATGTCTTAAACTTCAGAAAAGCAGCATGATCTACTGTAGACAGAGCTTTTCCCCAAGTTGGAGACATTCAGAAGTTCACTAAGCATCCCAAGCATGGTGCAAAGCACCAAGGGCCACATGAAAGAAACACAAATCATGAGTCCTGCTTTACATCACAAGGTATCTGCCCAAGGACCAATCACATGCAAGGGCCCAGTCCATCTGGGGAGACGAGGCCTATGCAACAGCTGCGCAGGAAGGCCCAAATGGACAAAACAGACCCCATAATAAATGGGCCAGAGAGGGGAGGCCAGAGCCTCTGTGATCTCCTGGGAGGAGATAGAACCTGGGGAGAGAGAAAGAAGAGAGAAGCCTGCTCCATGTAGCACAAACTGGGGATGGCTGATAAAAAGATTGAGCATGTTGAATCTGAAGGACTCCCAAGGCATGGCTCTCTAAGTGAAAAGTACTTGGCCCCAAAGAAGGCAAGATAAGCTGAACAGGTGGAATGGAACCAGATGAGATTTCAATGCTGCAATCTGGATTTAATCAGCGGGAACCCATGAATGATGTCTGGGTAGGTTTATTGATGACATTTCTACATCTGAAGAGTGTTTCCAGCACCCTAAGAGTGGGGATGCAAGAGGCAGGGAGGTCATCCAGGTGGTTGTTAAAGTGATTCAGGCTGAGCTACAGAGAAGGCAATGAATCCACAAGCTACTGTCTAAAAAGATTAAGTATCATGACTAGGTGACTAAAGGAAAGAGGGAAAAAATATGGGGATGGTGGGACATGACATTGATGAAATCAAGAAAGTGGGTGAGTGGAAAATTCACATGCTACATGTTTACTGCCATATGTCAAGTCAGACTCACATGCTGCTGTAGAAGAGTTGTAATTGCGCTTTGCAAGGCCAAGGTGAGTGTTCTGCTTGAGCCCAGGAGCTCAAGACCAGCCTAGGCAACATAGCAAAACCCTGTCTCCACAAAAAATACAAAAATTAGCCCAGTGCAGTGGCGTGTAGTCCCAGCTACTCAGGAGGCTGAGGTGGGAGGATCGCGAGGCCCGATGGTCGAGCCTGCATGAGCCATGATCACGCCACTGCACTCCAGCCCGAGCGACAGAGCAAGACCCTGTCTCAAAAAAATTTTAAAAAAGTGGTAATTTTCCCCAAAAAAAAATTTTTAATAAACTTGAAGTCATATAATGGTTTTTTTAAAAATAACGTTTTTCAATATGCCATTTTAAAAAAAGATTCAGCAAAGTCATTGTCTGAATCTCCTCAAAATGTATGCTTTGTCATAATTCAACACCCACAAAATCACATTAATAATTTCTCAATACTACATCTTTATTTAAACATTTACTGATAAGTTAATGTATGCCCAGTGCTGTGCTAGTACAAGAAATTCAAAAAATAAAATAAAATGTCAACCCTCACCCCAAGCAATTTTTAATCTATTAGAGGAATAAGACAGGTACATAAACTACTACAAATATGACAAAATGTAGTCAATGCTGTCTTAAGGGAGTATGAATACAGTACATAGAAAGTCAGAGGAAAGAAGTCATTTCAACTAGAAATCAGAGACAGGATTATATGTTCTGGGTCTTGAAAATCAGAAAGCATGAATATTGAAAATCTCTCCCAAACCTCATAGCCCAAGAATCTGTACAAATGAAGGGAAAGCACACTCCAGGTTAAGAGAGAAGCTTTTTATAAGACAAAAAGGCAAAAAAAAAAAAAAAAGCAATAGTTCTATTCAGGGTACAAAACACTGCATATAAACCATGACAGATGAAACTAAAAAAGTAGGCACTGGCCAGTTTTGCGAAGGGTTTTGATTGGCAGATAAACGATCACTGTGTAATTCTACAGGTCAGGGCAGCCTTTCAAGATTTCAGACAGGATTTTGGCATGATGGAACATGACCCCTATATAATTCAGCAAATGTTCTTTAAGTACTTTTTTTAAAATAGAGATGGAATCTCACTGCATTGCCCAGACTGGTTTCAAACTCCCGAGCTCCCGCCTCGGCCTCCCAAAGTGCTAGGATTACAGGTGTAAAGTCACGGTGCCCAGCTCCTTTTAAGTACATTTAACCTGGCAATAATGTGCTTGGGACAGAGGGGGAAAAATGTTTGCAACAGGTGAGTAAGGGTAACAGAAACAACAATCATCTTAGATAATCACTATCAGCGTCTTAAAACAAAAGCAATACACAAACTGAATAATCTACTATCATTTTTTACCAAATACCTATCATAGTCTCAGTAGTAAGTATGAGTGCTGACAGACAGACTTCCAGCAGCATTTAAATAAGAAACTAGCAGGATGCCTCCAGGCTACAGTTTTTCATTGGAATTCTTAATACCCAGGCTGATCTTCCAACTTAAGTTGCCAAAATAAATGGATATAACCGTTTAACAGAGTTCAAAATTGAGCCAGAGATGTCAATTCATGTACACATTAGTGAACTTTTATTAGTGAATATCGCAGCCCAAACCAACATTTTCATTACTATAATAGTAACTCTTCTAGAAGAATATACATACTGTTTGGGGGTTGGAATATCATGCTTTCATCTCTTGGGCATTCTTCTCTCTACCTAAGATTAAACCCAAAAGATGAAAATAATCTACTTATTCTTGGTGAGCCTATGCCCAAGGCCACCCATTCGATTCTTAATTATAACCCCAGATCATACTATCAAAGTCATTAGACTCATGGGATAGTATCGCTCTACAAACCCACAATTAATTCTTTCACTGTAAATGTGCTGGATTACGTACAGGTAAAATCCCATCACAATGAATTTAATTATAATAAAAAGATGTGGAAAAAGATCTGTGTCTCAAGAGAGGGATGCCCTACCAATGCAATGATTTCCACAACTCGGGAATTATTACTAATCTTTGATGTGAAATAATCATTTCTTCTGAAGGAATTCTATCTCCTTCCAATAGAAGGAAGAATAAGATTTTCTTGTGCTCTTTTATTCTTCATCAAGAAATAACTACCCTTAAAAAAAAACATTTCATATGAGATTAAGGTGGAATTTTAAATCTGTCAAAATTAAAAACAGCAATAAGTTACCAGCATTTTCCTATAAAATTTGCAAATATCTATTTTGATGATAATAACCAGCTTTAGAGAGAGTGTGGAAGCATGAACTGGGACAATCTTTCTAGAGGGCAATTTGACAATATAGATCTACAGTGGTGAAATGTACATACTCCAATTAAGTAACTCTATTTCTAGAAATTCATCCTAAGAATAAGAAGTAATAGTAGATATATGCAAAAATTTAGCTTTCAGGGTGTTCACTGAAATGCCATTCATAACAATATAAAACAAGAGCTTCCTAAATATAAAAATATCTAATTGTTTAAATGAATTATAATACAGCCATATAAAAGAATACTAAGCAGCTACTTAAAATTATGTCAAGAACATCGTTTAAATTACTAAAAGACATTACAAAACACCACAGCATGACTCTGCTTTTTTTAAATATACATATTTGAATTTTTAATATAGAATAAAAGACTGAATAAAGCATACTAAAATCATAGCTGTAGATTTCCCTGGTCATCAGTTCAGAAGTATTCTTTATTTTCTTTTTTATTTATCCATTATTTCTCAATTTTCTTCAATAAATATTGATATAAGAAAAAGGAAAAACAAATGTTTTAGAAACTACTCTTCAGCTGTCTTTTTTCTTCCACTCTTCATCACCCCCCAACCCGCTTCAGAAAAACCCAGGTGAACTCTCAGACTAACCATCAGAAAACAAAATACAAATACTGCACAAACAAAAATGCACCAAAACAGAAACATAATCCAATGGTTTTTGTTTTGTTTTATTTAGAGACAAGATCACATTCTGTTGCCCAGGCTGGATGCAGTGGTGCAATCTTGGCTCACTGTAGCCTCAAACTCCTGGGCTCAAACGATCCTCCTGCCTCACCCTCCTGAGTAGCTAGGATTACAGGTGTGAGCCACCATGCTCAGCTAAATTTTTTTAATTATAAAACTCCCATAGAGACGAGTCTTGCTATGTTACACAGGCTGGTCTTGAACTCCTGTCCTCAAGCCCTCAAGTGATCCTCCCACCTTGCCTCCCAAAGCACTGAGATTACAGTCATGAGCCATCTCACCCAACCTCAATGTTATTTCTTAATTTCTCCTGCTCGATTTAGAGTACTTGGTTTCATTGCTCATTCATCACAGTAAGTCTATCTTCCCCATAGTTTCTATTGATAAGCATTGCACTCCTTTGACATGGATTCTTCATAACAAATTCTAATGCAACAAAAATAACTTTAATTGTTCATATTTACCACAATAGAAGTCAACTCTAATATTATTTGCTTGTCAAATCTGGATAGACAGAAAGTCACTGTTTAATAAAAACCATGGTAATACCTTTGAAAATTTTGCTTATCGCGTAATGGGAAACTGCAAAAAAATTATTTAAGACTGTGAGTTCTTCTTTTAGAGCTTTAACCCAAAGAGCTCATCCTAATGATGCCCCTGGTGGCAGGTAACATTTAATTTTTCTCTGTGTCATTGAAAAAGAATTAGATGTAAAACTCAGGTAAGAGATTAATATTTCACACCCTGAGGCTAAATACTTCAGCATGAATATTCATAAAGCCTACACTGAGTGAAATCTCATGTGGGTGTAGATTTAAAATGCTTGAATCTTTTACATAGTTCAGAGACTGGGCATCCCAGAGAGAAAGGCAAGAATTCAGTCAACTGCAAGAATTTAGTCAACTAACAGGCTATTAATGGCAGGTCTGAACATGCTACTATGGCAAAAAGCATTACACACACACACACACACACACACACCCACACACCCACATGCCTACAGCCAAACCTTTCTTTCTTCTTGGGCTCCTGTAAGTGATGAAGGTAAGTGTTGATGGTCACTAGGAACAAAAATCAGGGTTTCTCCTTGGTGCTTCAGATGCCTGACTATGAATGTGTCCCCTCCTAAGTTCCAAGGGGACTTTAAGTGGGGGGGGGGGGGGGTGTGCTATGGTTTGAATGTGTTCCCTCCAAAATTTATGTGTTACCAACGTGATAATATTAAGAGGTGAGGCCTCTGGCCAGGCATGGTGGCTCATGCTTGTAATCCTGGCCAGGCATTACATTTTAGGAGGCCGAAGTGGGTGGATCACTTGAGCTCAGGAGTTCGAGACCAGCCTGGACAACATAGTGAAACCCCATCTCTACTAAAAATGCAAAAATTAGCTGGGTCTGGTGGCATGCGCCTGTAATCCCAGCTACTCTGGAGGCTGAGACAGGAAAATCGCTTGAACCTGGGAGGTGGAGGTTGCAGAGAGCTGAGATCTCACCACTACACTCCAGCCTGGATGACAGAGCCAGACTCCATCTGAAAAAATAAAAAAAAGATGGCCTCTAAGAAGTGATCAGGCTATGAGGGCTCCTTCCTTAGGTGTCCTTATAAAGGGGTTTGATGAAGGGAGTTCATCACTCTTTGCCCATCCACCTTCTGCCATAGGAGGATGCAGCATTCGAGGTGCCATCTTGGAGGCAGAAAGCAGCCCTCACCAGATGCTGGCACCTTGATCTTGGACTTCCCAGCCTCCAGAACTGTGAGAAATAAATTTCTATTCCTTTTAAAATAGCCAGTCTCAGGTATTCTGTTACAGCAGCACAGAATGAACTAAGATGGGAGGCAGTAGAGAGAAGAAATGTGGAAAAGGAAAGGTAGGCAGGACCATCTTGGTGCTAGTTGGAGTCACTTCATTGTAGGTCCACCCACCCATCCCAGGATGACTGTAGGATCCCCCCCTAAGGTAAAAGACTCCAGGTGAATGTCCTAATTTATCCTTCCCTGTGACAACATTGCTCTTGGTCCCTTGTAGTAATTTCTACCTTAAGAAACAGGAAAACGAAAGGAAGTTACTATGGGCTGAATGTTTGAGTCCCCGCAGAATTCAGATGTTGAAACCTAATCACCAAGGGGATGGTGCTAGGCCTTTGGGAGATGACTGGGTCTTGAAGGTGGAACTCTCATGAATGGGACTAGTGCCCTTACAGAAGAGACCCCAGAGAGCTTCCCCAACCCTTGTGCCACATAAGAACATAAGAAGACACATCTATGAACCAGAAAGCAGGATCTCACCAGACACTCAATCTGCTGGCACCTTGATCAGGAACTTGCCAGTCTCCAGAAGTGTGAGAAGTAAACATCTGTTGTTTATAAACCACCCAATCTGTGGCATTTTGTTATAGCAGCCCAAATGGCTCAAAGAACTCTCTTAAGCCTTATGGAACAAAGCCTGACATTAGGTAGACATAAGCCAAAGATGGAAAAACAATATAAAATAATAAGGGCAGAACTAAAGAGATAAGTATAAAAATAAACATTTAGAATAAACTGCCTGCCCAAACAACAACCAAGGTAGCTAGGGAGCCATGATAATAGCCAATAAATGCCTTCAAGGTATAAACAAAGGAGAAGAAAAGTTTAGTGTAGTATCCTGAGTGATGAAGTAATAGAATGAAATTTAATCAACGTAAAATGTAGGCCTAGGGTAAACTTCCCAACACATAGAGGATTTTATGCCCTATTCTTCCCATGGGGTAAGGTATTTTTCCCTCAGAATAACAAAACATGGCAGGACAAATCAGTAGATAATATTCTTTATGAAAGGATCCGGCCTTGACTCTCATATCCAGACCATATGGCTAAATAAATGCACAAGCCATCTAAAGATTCTTCTCACATCTAAGACCTGAGATGCGTGTTTTCTCAATCCTCACCTCTGCCAAGTTAATACATAGCTGCTCCTCCATTCATGCCTGCATCCTTCTGCCATCTCAACCTTGTCAACTACTCTGTATCGCCCTACATGTAAATGTCTAGGGAAATAAACTTCAGCAATTGACAGAGGGTCAGATGGCAAAGCAAATGTGCCTCCTCTCAGGAGATCTGCCAGAGCCCTGAGTTCCGTTCTGTTTCCTGTCAATTCTAATGTCCACCATAGTGCACCTCAGGCAGAGAGCAGACAGGCTTGTAGATCTGGTAACACCTAAGGATCTAGACCAGGAGGAATGAGGTCACCTAGAAACACAGGGAAGCAAATCAAAGTACAGGGCTGGGGTGATATGGAGTATCAGGGCTTACATTCATTCAACGAACATTTACAGTGTAGCTACTACAGGCGGAACTCAGGAGATGCAAAAGTGAGTCTTCAGGTATCATGTACCAAGAGAGCCAGGGGACACACAATTAACTACCACGTAATGTGATTATGATAGAAAAGAGGTAAGAACGCAAAGGACTAAAATGAAGATGTAACAGACAACGTAAGTGCGAAGCAAAGAAACTAGTAAAACACCGTTCAGACGGGCAGTGGCGTAAGCATCTATAGCTCCAGCTACTCAGGAGGCAAAGGCAGAAGGATCACTTGAGCCCAGGAGTTCAAGGCCAGCCTGCACAACACAGCAAGATCCCATCTCTTGAAAAATAAAAAAACTTATAGTTCAGTTTAATTATTGATTTTAAAATATATAACAATCTAGAACTAAAATCCAAGATATCTCAACATAGAAACTAATGAGATGGAGAAAATGAAGTAAAATATGCTAAGATTGTTGTTTTGTACATAATTAATAAATATACAATGAATAATTTTAGGCATTGAAGAAAAATATAAATTTGAAGGTGATTACTAAAAGATCACTACAAAAGTTATACATAATTTCCAAAACATCATGGAAAATAATAGAACATGAAAGAAAATGGAAGAATAGTTGCAAATTCAACAAAGGGAAAAGGAAAAGGGGAAACAGGCATAGTAAACTGAAAAGCTATGTAAGACGGCAGGCATATGACTGTGTCTATAATTATAATATACATAAATAACTTAAATGCCTGATTTCAAAAGATAGAAATTCTCAAATCAGGTTACAAATCTACGTACATACAACTGGGATAGTGGCTCATGCCTGTAATCCCAGCACTTTGGGAGGCCGAGGCAGGTGGATCACCTGAGGTCAGGAGTTCAAGACCAGCCGGGCTGACATGGTGAAACTCCGTCTCTATGAAAAACACAAAACTTAGCTGGGCGTGATGTGGGGGCGCCTATAATCCCAGCTACTTGGGAGGCTGACGCAGGAGAATCACTTGAACCCGCGAAGTGTAGGCTGCAGTGAGCCAAGACTACACCATTGTACCATTGCACTCCAGCCCAGGCAGCAAGAGCTAAACTCCATCTCAAAAAAAAAAAAATCTATCCAGATGCTATGTAAATGAAACACTCCTATAAAACATACCTAAAATAAATATCCATGGTTAGGTTGGGAACAAAGGGACGAAAAAAGATATTCCTAGTAACTGTGGCTTAAACAAGATAGAGGTTTATTTTTTCCTCACATTATTCTGCCTATCCCAGGGCTTTGTACCAGTCTTTAGTTCTGCCTTGATTATTTTCCCTCCAGATCTTAGCTCAACCACCACTTTCTGGTCATTCAAACCTTGGAAAAAAACAGAGGGAAGAGGTCAGGGCTTGGTATATACAGGTTAGGTATTCCTTATGTGAAATGCTTGGAGTGTTTCAGATTTGGGATTTTTTTTTAATTTTGGAATATTTGCATATACAATAATGAGATATCTTGAGGATGGAACCCAAGTGTAAACACAAAATTCATTTATGTTTCTTACGCACATAGCCTGCAGGTAATTTTATACAATACTTTTAATAATTTTGTGCATGAAACAAAGTTGTGTACATTGAACTATTGGAGAGCCAATCTGTCACCATCTCAGCCAACCATGTGGACAAAATCTGTGTTATTAAGCATCACGATCATTCCTCATTCTGAATTTATATGCTACCAATAAGCAACCATTGTCTTATACTTACTCACACACAAGTACTTAACCGTAAAAAAATACGACATACTGCCCAGGCGCAGTGACTCATGCCTGTAATCCCAGCACTTTGGGAGGCCGAGGCAGGCAGATCATGAGGTCAGGAAATCAAGACCATCCTGGCTAACACAGTGAAACCCCGTCTCTACTAAAAATATAAAAAATTAGCCAGACGTGGTGGCGGGCACCTGTAGTCCCAGCTACTCAGGAGGCTGAGGCAGGAGAATGGCGTGAACCCAGGAGGCGGAGGTTGCAGTGAGCCGAGATCACGCCACTGCACTCCAGCCTGGGCGACAGAGCGAGACTCCATCTCAAACAAACAAAAAGAAAAATGACACACCATTAATACAGTGAAGAAATAATGTGTTCAGGGTAACTAAACAACACAGTAGCATCTCCAGAACTTGCCATTAGCGTATCTGGTCTTGCCATTTTCTTACCCTTTGTGGGCATGCACAGGAAAGATACATTACAGAGGAAGGGGGCTGGGAAGATCTTATTTCCCTGGGAACACTGAATAAATGGTGTGTGGCATTCCTGTGTTTTGACTGCAATCTTTCACATGAGGTCAGGTGTGGAATTTTCCACTTGTGACACCAAGTCTGCACTCAAAATGTTTCCGATTTTGGAGCATTTCAAATTTTAGATTAGGGATGCTCAATCTGTATGACTATTGACTACATGCTATGTAGTTAAGGGAAAGTGTGCGTGCGTTTCTGTGCGTGCACACATGCATGCATGTACACATGTGCATATGTGCACTGTAGGTGTAGGGATGGGATGGGGAACTGCAGGCAAGAAAGCCTGATAAACTGCAAACAGAAATGTATCTGTAACAGACCAAATGTACTAGAGAGGGCACCACACCCCTAAGACGCATGATCATAGAAATCTACTAGATAGATTGGGTGAAACCAGACACTAGAATGACTGAAGATGCTTGTAAGGGAAACAGAAAGGCAAGATTAGTAGACAGGATGGGCTATGGGATAAATGACAAGAAAAAAAGAAAGAGACCCGAAGTATTCACTCAACAACTTTTACCAAGTACCTACCAACCCACCAAGTTCAGTGGAGGACTTCCTTAGAACAACAGAACCAGGCGTAGTCACAATGGTCTGCGACTGCACTGGGGTGAAAGGGAAGATCTTGGAAATAAAAGGGAAGTGGAAGAGTAACACAACATTAATAAGGGATTTTTATGTTGAAGCAATGCTGCACAGGGATGTAGGAAAACAATGACTAATCTTTGCTTGATTTCATTCTTATTCTTTTAAGCTCAAAACAATATGGTTGACTATATTCATTTCGTATCTGTATTCCTGATGAGTAGTAGCTTGCTACTCTGATCCAAAGCTTGGGAGAACAAGTGTTGGCTATTAGCACATAATTCTAGCATGGTATATTTCAATATCGCATTTACAAACTAGGAAGAAAACACTTAAACATATATTCCATCTTCTGATTCAGATCTTTGGTAAAAGAAAAGACCACGATCGCATAAACATGCCTACTAAGATACATCATGTCATGAGAAAAACACATTAGAAAGTACACGAGCACTTTATTCATCATCTGAGACAGGGACTTTTGTGAAAATGCAGTGACAGAGGTTGTGGTCGCTTCCCTTTGTACATGAGCTGACTTATGCTGTCTATTGTACATATTTGTCAGGTTTCTTAACGTTCCTCTTAATACGGTGTCTTTATTTAGTTCTCCCGAAGGAATATCAGCAATTTGTGGGAGCAGGAGGAACGCTTCCTGTCAATTCTGCATAATGACCAAAACAGGGTGATTGAATTACTTAATTGAAGCTCTGCAGCTTGTAACATGAAGCATATTGGGCCCTGTTCATTGTAGAGAGAAAGCAGTGGGTGGGTGTTCACGTAGACAGTATCAACAGAGAGCCAAATCATTTTCATCTTTATGTTTGCTTTATTTTTCTGAAGCTCATACAATCCACAAGGGACTCTCTCCTCAACTCTGTAACAGCCAACGGGTGATAAGGTGGGGGAGGGCATAGGTAACTGAAACAGGAGCACATAAAAGCTTTGCATGTAGATTAACAGTTTTATAAACTCATAACAATTTCTATTAGCCCACAGAATTGCTAGCATCCCTGCCCTCACCTGTTGGCATCACGGCAAAGCTGCAGCTGAGGAACACGCAATTGTATTTACAGAGCGTACGGCGCCAGTGTGCACTGGTCAGATTCTCAAATGTGGCTAACTTTGGGGCTCTCCTAAAAGCTTTCAGCTCCAGAGTCTATGGGTATGAGCTTGTTTGACTGCTGGTGTAGGAAATGTCCCAAGACAGTCTAAGGGGTGCAGATCAAGACCACAGGTTCAAGTCACCTACACTCCTAAACAGTCACAATTGCTCTTGGCCAGTGACAAAATTACTGTACCATTTAGATGATGTTGGGGCTGAGTCTCCTAATTCTGGATGCCTCTCAACTCCCCTCAACACAGGATCAATAACATTTTCATATTGTAGAATACATCTTGAGAAGAATCAAGCCAAGAGTGGAACTAGCAAAACTTAGGGTATTTAAAAATACAGTAGAAGTCCTATTATCTGATTCAGAGCTGATGTTTGACAGGTTAACTAAAATATATATATATATATATATATATATATATATATATATATATATATATATATATATATATATGTAATGGTTAAATGAAGGAAAATAATTTTAAATAAGTCTATATCTTAAACATTTTATTTTACCCTAAAATGTAAATATACATTCATTTAATAAAATCTAATATTAATTCATTAGAAGATGGAATACTATTGTTCACATGTAGTTCCTCCATTGTGTAACTACTATATTGTTGATTTGTATTACAGATATATGCTGTCGTCTAATACACTGTAAAGGGAGCATTTTTTTGGCCACCACATGAGAAATTTTTACTTCTATATCGTTCTTATTGTCTTCATATTCAGCTTTATCTTTTCTTGTGGCATATATGATTTCTGCATCATTCAACTGCATTTACAAGAAATTGTCACTCTTGATCCTTTGTTGTACACCATCTTCCTTAAAAAAAAATAAATAAAAAACACTGGAACTGATGCAAGACAGATGAGCCCCAAAATTGGGGCTTAGCCTGGGGAGGTTCTTGACTTCACCCAGGAAAGAATTCAAGGGCAAGGAAGTGGTGTTAATCAGCAAGTTTTATTGATGTGGCAGCACACAGCAGCAGTGGAGCAGGGTTACCCCATAGGCAGTGTGCCCAGAGTAGCAGCTCAGGAGCAGTTCTGCAGTCACAGTTATATCCACTTTTAATTATAAACAAATTAAGGGCAGGTTGTGCAGAAATTTCTAGAAAAAGGGTGGTAACTTCTGGGTTATGAGGTTGTTGTTATGGAAAGGGGCAGTCACTTCCAGGTGTTGCCATGGCAATGGTAAACTGAAATGACATGCTGGTGGTCTTGTCTTGTAGAAAGCTGCTTTTGGCTGGGTGCAGTGGCTCACGCCTGTAATCCCAGCCCTTTGGGAGGCCGAGGCAGATGGATCATGAGGTCAGGAGTTCAAGACCAGCCTGAGCAACATGATGAAACCCCGTCTCTACTAAAAATACAAAAACTAGCCAGGCACGGTGGCGCACGCCTGTAATCCCAGCTACTCAGGAGGCTGAGACAAGAAAATCGCTTGAACCCGGGAGGCAGAGGTTGCAGTAAGCCGAGATTGTGCCACTGCACTCCAGCCTGGGCGACAGAGCGAGACTCTGTCTCAAAAAAAAAAAAGAAAGCTGCTTTTGCCCCATCCCTGTTTTAGCTAGTACTTTATTTGGTCCATTGTTTCCACTGTCTGAGCCAAGCCTCCAAAGTCAAGTCTCGCCTCTTACCTCAGAACCCCTGATTTATTTGAGATCATCTAGCTCAGTGGCATAATCTTTTGGCATCCCTGGGCCACACTGGAAGAAGAAGAATTATCTTGAGCCACACATAAAATGTACTAACACTAACTATAGCTGATAAGCTTTAAAAAAAAAAAAAAACACCAAAAAAAATCATAATGTTTTAAGAAAGTTTACGAATTTGTGTTGGGCCACATTCAAAGCCCTCCTGGGCTTCATGCAGCCCACAGGCTGCCAGTTGAACAGGCTTGATGCAGCTAATAAACTATGTCCTTTACTTTCTTCTGGTACATTTGGATTTTCTGCAGTAGCTGTCAATTTCAAGCCAGTTTTCTCCAAGACGGAGTATATGCTGAACTGGAAACTCCACTCCAACATGACTTATAAATAATGTCTATTATGTTGGTGACTCTTGAAAATTTTGTTATCTACATTTTTATATTCTACAATTTGGGGTCTAAGATACAATATCCAGGCAAACCCTGAAATAAAATATTTTTCCTGGAGCTGAGCCAAGAGGAATAGGGTAGGTCAAATCTGTGCTGTTACAGTACTGAGAACAAAATTCCACAGCCAAAGCAATGTTGGAGATAATGCTGGAGTTGAAATTACAATTTTGAGGGAGAATCCTTCCAGCTTCAGGACTAGCTGTTTCAAGAGCTGAAATAAACCACGCAACAATATGCTAGTGCACTAAATTGAGGAGGTCTGAAAAGTTCCCATACAGAGTTGGAAAATTAAGCCCCACATTTCTTCAGAAATTAAAGCTGTAGTCACATGAATAGAAATGGAAGAGATCCATCCTACTCAGACCACTTCAAGGTTTCTGCCTTACAATAAGTTAGCAGGTACAGAACTGTCACATGCCAGGTACCCTATTTAGGACTTCCTATGGATTATCTCATTTAATCCTCATGACTACCCTGCAAAGCGGGTTTTCCAGATGAGAAAAAAGCATCTGTCGAGGTGTACATAGACTAGGGCGAGGACTTGAGTTCAAAGGCCATGATCTTCCACACTGCTCTCCTGTCCCTCCATAATACATACTCCAACTCACTCAAAGCTCCCTTCCAGCATCACCAACAAGAAAATCTCAAACCACCAACGCTCATCTACCAAAAAATCAAAGCTACTCACACACATGATCAGTTGCAATTATTTTTAACTTTGGGAACTTCTGAAAACTCTTGAATGAAAGATGAGTTTGGGGTTGAAATGACAGGCACAAAGAAAAGATTACAAAACTAACATGCAAATGAAAATATTTCTGTGTTCCAAAACAAAAAAGGTAAGAAATTAAAAGAAAAAGAAACATATATAGCAGGAAGAATCCTTACCAACATTAATATCGACTCTTTTCCTGTTGTACAGAGCTTTGGATTAATACTAATTCATACTCAGTTTCTCGCCCTTTTTAGCAGCAGTAATCACTGTGGTATCACTTTGTGCTACCATGTCTGCATCTATGGAAATTTCCAGAAAGATTTATCACTTTACTTTCTTGATCAATTAACAGGCTAGCTTGGGATACTTTTAAAACATTTCAAAAACAAAAATTGAATTGAAATATCAGCAGAAACTGACAAGGCAAAAGGTAGCTTTACCAGCACTTTTCCTCTTGCATTATTTCAATTAAAATAGACAACAGGCCAGGCACAATGGCTCACACCTGTAATCCCAACATTTTGGGAGGCCGAGGCGGGCAGATCACGAGGTCAGGATATCGAGACCATCCTGGCTAACATGGTGAAACACCGTCTCTACTAAAATACAAAAAAACTAGCCAGGCGTGATGGTGTGCACCTGTAGTCCCAGCTACTCGGGAGGCTGAGGCAGGGGAATTGCTTGAACCCGGGCGGTAGAGGTTGCAGTGAGCTGAGATGGCACCACTACACTCCAGCCTGGTGATAGAGCAAGACTCCAACTAAAAAAAAAAAGAAAAAAAAAAAAAGTAGACAACAAAAACACCACACTTCACAAATCAATCCAAAATTATTGGAAGTCAATCTTTTTTTTTCTTTAAAGCTAAATTCAAAGAGAAGTTGTTTCTGTATTATAGCAAGGAAAACTCACATGGAAAGATTGATTCCTTGGCTTAAAAATCCATAGAGCCTGATTATATTATTTGGAGTTTAGAAAAAAAAAGATTTATGTCTATGTGATGGTGTCTTAGGGCTCCCCCAAAAGCAGATCCTGAGAAAAGGCTGCGGGTCGTTTATTTGAGAAGTAGTCCCAGGCCTGTTTGAGGGTGCATGAATGAGCAAGTTACCTCTTGGACATCCAGGGCATGGTCCTGCTGGAACCCTTTGAGGCACTCCATGGCACACACCTCAGAAGTGACACAACTGGGGACAGCGAGGTGGAGCATTTATCTATCAACTCCCGTCCCTCCTTGGCTGAGGGTTGAGCACAGAATCAACTCCACGTCCAAACTTCTTATAGGATACACCTGTATTCAGCCTAGCTCCTAGAGGGAAATGTTCAGGCAAGAAATTCAGCCTGCCTGGGACTAGCCTCAGCTGCAGACAAGTGCAGGTGGGCTGAGGGCATAGTGGTCAGGGCCTCAACAGTGCCTGCCATAGCCATAGCTTAGGGGTAGCTTCTTTCGAGCTTCCTCAGCTAAAGTATGGAATCTGTTTTTCCACTGTACATCACAGACCCAACTGTTCACAAACATTAGCCTATCTAAATTAGACTCCTTGTCAGTAGAAAAGACTAGAGACCCTAAGTAACTCTCTCACTGCAAATGACAAAAAATGCTAAGTATAGTAATTTGAATAAAACTCGAATGCATAACTGAGCTAATAAAAACAAAAGGACTCCCCAGAGGTCAAAAGCAAAGTGGAAGCTGGAATCTAGAAATATAAACAAGGACCAAAGTCCGCTTTTGTTCACCAAACCCTTGCAACCTTGACCATCTGCTTTGGCTACCATGCAGTGGTGTGTGAGCCACAGCAGACCAGACCTAGGGCCTTCCCAAGTGAAATGAAATACCCACTCCCACCCCACAACATTAAAATACCAAAGGGCCACTCTCTCTAAGAAAGGGTGCCTAGAAATAAATTCACCCTATAGAAGAAAATTTAACTGTATTGGTCTTGGAGCTGGGAATATCTATTCAATATTTGAAAATAAACAGAACCAATTAATCAACTAATTAATAAACTCTGAGAGGCCACATAACATTTGTTGAGAACATTTAAACAATCTGTTCTACTTTCATTTTAGACATTTTAATTAGTCCATTCAGAGTTGCTTACCATGCAAGACTTATAGGGATATCCAAGAAGTTAAAATATTTTCAAACGCAGTTATTAAAATGTGTGCTTCGAAAGTCTCAGCCAGTGGTGGCTCACGCCTGTAATCCCAGCACTTTGGGAGGCCGAGGGCAGATCACCTGAGATCAGGAATTCGAGACCAGCCTGGTCAATATGGTGAAACCCTGTCTCTACTAAAAATGCAAAAATTAGTCTAGCATAGTTGTGCGCACCTGTAATCCCAGCTACTCAGGAGGCTGAGGCAGGAGAATCACTTGAACCCGGGAGGTGGAGTTTGCAGTGAGCTGAGATTGTGCCACTGCACTTCAGCCTATGCGACAGAGTAAGACTGTCTCAAAAAACAAACAAACAAACAAACAAACAAAAAAAAACAATATGAAAGTCTCCTCTTCCTATCTTAGAAAATGATCACTTAGTCTACCACTAAATGACACAGACCCCAGACTCTTGAGCTCCTCTCTGTTGCAATTACATGTTCCTCATCATGTAGACCTCTCTACAGGACTTCCTGAGTGCCCTTAACATGCACCTGACATGGCAGCTGATTCTACCCAAAGCGACACAAAAGAGTCCCAATGGCTTTTATGACCTAGTCTGAGAAGTCACATACTGTCACATCTGCTTCATTCTACTCATTGGATGAGAGTAGCCCACACTCAAGGAAAGATGAAACTAGCTCACCTCTTAAAGTGAGGTGTATTACAGAATGTGTAGGTATACTTTTTAAACCACCGCACTACCCCAAACTCTAATATCACAAAGACCAACACTTGTCTTTGAGCTGTTTCTTGTAATCTCTACATCTGTATTTCTAACTAACATGACTATGATATATTCATTTTCTATTATCACCCTTATACCACTATCTACCCACTCACCCCACACAAGTATACACACACTCCACACACACAATTCTTGTTACCTCATCTTCCCAATATAGTTGTATCATAATTTTTGCTTAAATCAATAATCAGTATTTAAATTAACATGGTCACGTAAATATTGCTTCCAACTGGGCCTCATGGTACAATTTATTTCATTTCTACAAATAATTTTTAATTTATTTCAAGTTCTGGTACAACTTGTTTTTTCTAGACTTAATAACTGTTGGGGGGTGGGGAGTTAATTGCTTATTGTTTTATTGGATCCATTACAAACTTACACCTAAATTTTCTGAAAAAAATCATCTCCTCCCAATATGTTGAAACAAATCAGGTCATCTATCAATTGAATTTATATATATATATTATATATAATTTTTATATATAATATTAACATATTATAGTTTCTATATAGTATATGATATATAACATATATAATAACTCATACATATATAAATTGGAAACATTTCTCCTGGGACTCTTCACCTTCCTGCTCTGATCTGAACTGGTTACGCCTTAACTGTCATCTTGGAACTTCCCTTCACCATTATCCATTATCCTGGGAATGTCTTTTGTTTATCTCCTGTAGGGCATTATGTTTGCTGGATCCCATATCTTTCTCTTTTGTGATTTTCTCCCTTGTTTTGGTGGTACATACTCTCATATCCGAGTGTCTTCTTGAGCATGGGCTGCCTTGGAGAAATAAATGTTGTGAGTATTTTATGTCTGAAAATATCTTCTACCCACATATTTAGTTGATGCCTGCTGGGTATAGAATTCTGGTTTGGGGCCAGGCACAGTGGCTCATGCCTGTGATCCCAGCACTTTGGGAGGCCGAGGCAGGCGGATCACAAGGTCAGGAGATCGAGACCATCCTGGCTAACACAGTGAAAACCCGTCTCTACTAAAAACACAAAAAATTAGCCGGGGGTGGTGGCAGGTGCCTGTAGTCCCAGCTACTCGGGAGGCTGAGGCAGAAGAATGGTGTGAACCCAGGAGGTGGAGCTTTCAGTGAGCCAAGATCACACCACTGCACTCCAGCCTGGGTAACAGAGCAAGACTCCATCTCAAAAAAAAAAAAAAAAGAATTCTGGTTTGGACATTATTTTCTCTAAGTCTTTTGAAGTGTTATTCCATCATGTTCTAGCTTCCAGGACTGCTGTTCAAAAGTCTAAAGCCATTTGGATTCTCTATTTATTTACCTATTTATTTCCTATAGATTTTAAGGATCTTCTTTCCATCTCTTGTATTTTGAAATGTAATGGTGATGTACTTGTACTTTTTTCTTCTTTTTTTAACTTTTTTTTTTAGTCATTGTGTGTGATGGTTAATTTTAGGTGCCAATTTGACTGGGCCATGGAGTGCCCAGATATTTGTTCAAACATTATTCTAGGCATTTCTGTAAGGCTGTTTTTGGTGAGATCAACATTGAAATTGGTGAATTTTGAGTACACAGATTGCCCTCCCTAATGTAGGTGGGCCCGATCCAATCCACTGAAGATGTGAATAAAAAAAAAAGCCAACCCTCCCCCTCCCCAGAGTAGACAGGATTCCTCCTGCCTGACTGTCTTCAAACTGGGGGACATCAGCTGTTTCCTGCCTTCAGACTCATACTGCACCACTGGCCCTCCCAGGTCTCCGGCTTTTGAACCTGAACTGGAACTTCACCATTGGTTCTCCGGGGTCTCCCACTTACTGACTCACCCTGCAGACCTTGGGACTCATCAGCCTCCCATATTGGATGAGCCAATTCCTTATAATAAATCTCTTCATATATATATTCTTACACACACACACACACACACATCCTATTGATCTGCTTCTATGGAGAACCTGATTCACATATTGTGCTGGGCATTTAATTAACCCTTTTAATCTGAAGTCCAATGTGATTCAGTTTTGGGAGTTTTTCTTGTGTCAATTTTCTATAGCTTCCTCTCCTGCTGGCTTCTCTGCTCACTCTCTCTGTAACTCCTGTTAGTTGAATGTTGAAGCTCCTGAATATCCCTCCCGAATTCTGTTATCTTTACTCTTTTTCTTTTTTGTTTCTCTTTGTTGTGTTTTCCAGAATATTTCTTCAATTTTATCTTCCATTCTTTCTACTAATTGTTTTCTTTGATCTTATGTTTAATTCCCGATAATTCTTTCTTTTTCTCTATTTATTTTAACGGAATCATAGATGAAGCATCTCTCTTTGGCCATATTAATAACAATTTGTTTTTGTTCTATTGGTTTTTAATTTTCCTCTCTCTCTCTCTCTCTCTCTCTTTCTCTCTCTCTCTCTCCCCCCTGTTCCCACTGAGTTCCTTTTCACAGTAATCTTATTCTCTTTCATTTTGTGGCCCTTTCTTGAAGGTCTGGTGGTTGTTAACTGTCCATTCACATTTAAGAGTGAGGCACTAAAAAAACAGTTGATAGATCTGCAGGTGGAAAAGACTTCCTGACTTCAGAGATGATCCAATGGAACCATGGCTATTTCATTAGAATACTCTGAAGCATCATTATTTGTAGCTCTTTTCTTTGGGGCCAGTTTCCCACAGAAGAATCCTCCAGTCTCCAACTAGGAGCATAGACACTTGTCCAGGGCTTTCTAGAAGCTATGGGGAGAAGAAATGGAGTGTTTCACCCATTACCATTCAGATTTCATCTTAATCTCCATTTTCAGTTTAGCCCCATCGCCCTACCCTCAGCTGTGCCTGGAATCCTAGAGACTAAAGTTACTCTGGTTCAGTCTCTCCAGAGAAACCTCCACTTTTCTGAGGGTGAAGAAAATGTTACCTGACTGACACCTTGGGGGAGGAGCATCTAACTGCCCCTTTTAAGGACTTTCAACAAATCCCTTCTCCGCAACCTCACATTCAGAGGTCCTTGCTGCTTCAAATGCGTGAAGCTTTCTGGGGTTCTCAGTGAGATTTGACTCAATTCCAGCTTTCTCTGATTTTCTCAATTAATTACCCACTTTTCCATCTGCTTTTTAGCCTCTAGGTTGGGATGACAATTGCTGTCTGCTATTGTTCTCTTTGTCCTCATTTATTCCTTAATTGTCATTTTAACAGAGCTGAGAAGGAAACTTTCTAACATTCCAGAAATTCTGAGTGCCAAAACTCATCTGGCCCCAAGGATCGGGAAGGATATTGCAGTCCTGCGATTTACAAACATGTTTCCTCCCAGAGTCACCCCAATCTCCATGAGAGTGTGAGGCCATGGAAGCAAAACCCTCAGATTTTTGTCTTTTCTCTATCATTCATTATGTGATCTCAAACAAGTCCACCAAACTTTTTGTCCCTCAGTTTTGTCACCCATCAAATGAAGGCAACAGTCAATAAAACAAAGATTTCATCTAAGAATCAACTTGGGCCAATATCATTTAGAAATGAAAATATGCTTTAATCCTAAAATTCCAAAACATCTTATTCTGAGACACAGGTCTAAAAAAATTGGCAGCCGGGCATGGTGGCTCACACAGTGGCTCACGCCTATAATCCCAGCACTTTGGGAGGCTGAGGTGGATGGATCACCTCAGGTCATGAGTTCGAGACCAGCGTGGCCAACAGGGTTAAACCCTGTCTCTACTAAAAATACAAAAATTAGCAGGGCATGGTGGTGGGCACCTGTAATCCCAGCTACTTGGGAGGCTGAAGCAGGAGAATCGCTTGAACCCGGGAGGCGGAGGTTGCAGTGAGCCGACTGCACTCCAGCCTGGGCAACAAGAGTGAAACTCCATCTCAAAGAATTATAAAATAATAAAAATATAAATAAACAAATAAAACAATTAGGCTGAGGACGGTGGCTCATGCCCGTAATCTCAGCACTTTGGGAGGCCCAGGCGGGTGGATCACTTGAGGTCAGGAGTTTGAGACCAGCCTGGCCAACATGGTGAAATCCTGTGCCTACTAAAAATACAAAAATAAGCTGGGTGTGGTGACACATGCCTATAATCCCAGCTACTCGGGAGGCTGAGGCAGGAGAACTGCCTGAACCCGGGAGGCAGAGGTTGCAGTGAGCTGAGATCAATCATACCACTGCACTCCAGCCTGGGTGACAGAACAAGACTCTGTCTCAAAAAATAAATAAATAAATAAATAAAACAACTGGTGCCATATTTCCCCCTAGAATTCAGGACAGCTAGAGTTAATGGAAGCATGAACGATAGCACGCCAATAAGAGATTTTGCCCAAGGTAATTCAGAATGAGCTCAAGGGACTTTCTTGATGAGTGAAACTCATTCACATTAATAGTGGCTGCTGAGTTCACATCTAAATGGGAAATGTGCCACGTGGAGTGAAAACACACTAATCTATTGTATGGGCTACTTTGTCATACTCTCAACATTCTAGAGGAAATGCAAACTTAGAAAGCACCAAATATATAAACAGTACACCCTTGTAACTGACCTTCATTCCCCTTCTCTCGATCTTATACAGAGGTGGGAAGAGGGGGGTTTTTAATGTAAAATTTCCATTAAAAGTCTCACTACTTGCAGGGGCTTATATAGTACAAGAGGTGTCTTAGATATTTCTATAATAAAATATTTTCTCTGGAAAACAAATCTCTAAAAAGTAATTTTGTTTTACCCTGTGGAAAAAAAATGGCCATTCTAGATTTCTGTAAAATATAATTCATCATTATGAAATTACCAGATTACATGCACAATTAAACTTATTTATTAAACAAGACATATGCCAACAACTTTGCAATAATCCTTTAAGCCATAATAGCAGATTTTCAACTTTAATAACAACATCATGCAGCTAATACTCAAAGGACTAATTTTTAAAGTAAGAGCTTTTGGTAATTGAAACTGAAATTATACAATTAAGCACTTGAGTAATTTAAACATGAATGTAAGTGCCCTGACTGTGTTGCTCTTGGCGTTTAGTCAAATTTACTAGTGCCAGTTAGACTTTATCACACTAATTATTTCTGCTCTGTATCAGATCTGACTAAATAGAAATTGAGAATTACTTATTCCTCTGTCTTTCCTGCTTCAAAAACACTATATTTTTATGATTAAAGCTTCACATAAATCATCAAGGATAACCCCATGATTCTTATTAGGGCTCCACAGATATTCAAAAAGAGATATTTTATTTGTATACCTATTCCCAAAAAAAGGTGCAAACATTTTAATATAGGGATAAAAGTTATCCAGTGAGTATATTTGCCTCTGAAATGTTTTTGAATAACCACCTCTCCCTTCCTCCCCATCTCCCTTCTTTCCATTTTCTCTATCGAATATAAAACCCTATGTTAGCCTCATCTCCTTAGCCTTAGGAACACTCCAAAATAAAACAGCTGTCCCTTGACAATGAACATGAGAACGGCCTCTCACTTGGTAGAAATCATCTCTGTGATTTTTTACTGGATGATTAAGACTTTTGATATTGTAAAATTATAGTAGGATTTAGAGATTGTATTTCTTAAGTGAATCATAAAAGTCATTGAATTTTTTAAGGTATGGGTTAGAAAACAAGAAACGTTGTGAATATTCCAAAACAAGACACAGGCTTTGAAAACAGGAAGAGGCAGGCCAGCTGCCGCTGACCAAGGGAGGGAATAGACACAATGCAGTCAGGCACCATGCAGAGAGGGCACCCGCATCAAGACCTCATTGCCACCACCAAGTACAGAGGCACAAAAATGAGAGAAAACACATTCTAAGCTCAAGAACTGCACAGATAAAGGTAGCAGGGATAAAAAAGTGGGCCAGGCGCAGTGGCTCACACCTGTAATTCCAGCACTTTGGGAGGCCAAGGTGGGAGGATCACTTGAGCCCCCGAGTTTAAGACAAGCCTGGGCAACATAGCAAAACTCTGTCTCTACAAAAAATTTAAAAATTCAGCCAGACACGGTGGCACACACCTATAGTCCCAGCTCCTCGGGAGGCTGAGGTGGGGAGGATCACTTGAGTCTGGGAGTTGGAAGCTGCAGTGAGCCAAGATCACACCACTGCACTCAGCCTGGGCAACAGAGTGAGACGATGTCTTAACAAAGAAAAAAGAAGGAGCAGATAGGCTCCAGGATATACGGCTGGCATTTAGGCTAAGAGAGGAAGGGCTGTAATGGGGTGAAGCTAAACACATAAGTATAGCCCAGATCACAAAGAGCCTAGGATTCTAGGCTAAGGCACTGACTGGGGTTTTATCCAGAAGGTAATGGAGAGTCACTGCAGGGCTTTTTAAAACAGGAAATAGGCATGGTCAGATATGCATTTTAGAAACACTCTTCTGACTGTAGGGTGAACACTCGATTGAGGCAAGTTAGAGCGGAGGAAAGGAAGGACGCTTTGTTAGAGTAGTCCTGTACAGCACTTGGCTGGAATACAGCAGGCCAGGCTGCATTTAGCAGTATTAATGTAGCCCAGAAGAGCACTTGGCCATGTACACACTACGGCAGCCCAGGCTGCAAAGAGTGAGAACTTGAACCAAGACAGCAGCAGTAGAACAAGTGAAGAGACTAGAGCTCAAGATATTTAAGAAGTAGATACTTTGTCATGGGGTCCAGTTGCATATGGCAGACAGGTTTAGGGCAGAATCTAGTTTCTGACTTAGGAGATTCTGGGAAGGGTGTTCCTCCTCTGGCCTGTGATACTGACCCCATCACCACATGCCTCCCCAGGATGCTATCCCATCAATTACTCTTTTTCACTCCTGTGAATCTTTCACCACAGCCTATAAGATACTCAAGCCTCTCCTATGCCAGGAAGCAAAGATGTGTTGGACACCTACTCTATGCCAGTCAGTCCCCAAGTTAGCTGAAGGAGTTAAGAGCAAGAAGTAGTCATTTATCCCAATCCCTAAATCCATCTTCAGAGTTGATCAAATAACATCAGGCCATTTCGGAAATGAAGGCTTTTTGTTTAGAACTAGTGATGCCAGCCACCTGTATGAATACTCTATCTAGCAAGGTACATGGTTAGTGACGGATGACTTGTGAGTGATCCTCCTGGGCTGTGACATGGTGCTGCAGGTCCCTGTCAAAGATGCTTGCTCTGGAAAAAGCCAAGGGGTCAAGGAGAGACATCTGAGCAGGCTGGATGTGCCATGTAACAGGCCCCTTGTGGCTCAGGGCTTAGCTCTTCATGTCATTCATTCAACAAATATTTTTTATGGGATCATCACACAACAGGTGCTACACTAGGCTCCGGGAAAACAATTGCAACCAAAATGGACCCAATTCCTGCCACCATGGTGCTTAGAGTTTAGTTTCCACATCAATACTTACAGTTCCACCATCACAAGCAAAAGCACACTCCCAGGGTGTGGGGGAGTGCGGCCTCTGTCTTCCGCCAGGGGAGTACATCAAAGCAGGAATTTCACAATAGCTCATTTCCTCCTAAGATCCACTTGTTAGAAAAGGGGCCCCACCAGAATAACAGGCACCATTATTTTTGTAAAACTGGGTTGAACCTCACATGCTGTTCTATAATCTATTTCTAATTAGCCATAGAGATATACTAAAGCCTAACATCAAAGTTCAGAAAGAAAAAAGAGGTTGATTCTCAGTGGCTCAAGTTTAGTAAGACTGGGAACTCAGTCAAGTCAACAGAGCCCAGCACACGGCAGAAGAGATGGAAAGATAGACATGCAGAGTTCAGGTTCTGAATGACAAGTGTCGGCATTAGGAAATCAAGCTAGGGCCAGGCGCAGTGGCCCATGCCTGTAATCCCAGCACTTTGAGAGGCCAAGGCGGGAGGACTGCTTGAGGCCAGGAGTTCAAGACCAGCCTGAGAAACAATGCAAGACCCTGTCTCTACAAAAAATAAACACAAAAATTAGCTGGGCATGGTGGCACCCCCCTGTAGGCCTGGAAGGCTGAAGTAAAAGGATAGCTTGAGCCCAGGAGTTTGAGGCTGTAGTGAGCCAAAATCATGACACTGAACTCCAACCTGGGCAACAAGCCAAGACCCTATCTCTAAAAAATATTTTTTTTAATAAAGGGAATCAGGCTAAGAGAATGGAGAACAGAAGGAAATGAATGTGGGGCAGTATGAACTAGAAGAGATTGGATTTAGGCAAAGGACTTGAGAAAGAAGCATGAGGAATGAACAGCCAAAAAGAAAATGTGATACCAATAAAAACATCATATGAAACAGCTGCTGCTGTTCCAGATCTGAATCGCTCTAAGGGTGGAGGCAGTCAGGGCCTTGGGTAAATACCGATCCCTTGTTAGAGATACAAAGGGAAAAAGAAAGGAAAAAAAAAAACCTTTGCCAAATTGTCCTTGGACAGTCTTGGGCAACCTTCTATAGGCTGGAATAATTTACAAGACATGAAAAGGTTTATGGGTTGCTTTTTTTAAAGTACAAAATAAAAATAGCTGTATTTAGTCCTGGGATGGGAGTTAAGCACAAATTCTTGAAGCTTCAATTGCCTACTTTACTGAGTAGAATGCCAAGAAAAACAGCTCTACTTCTCAAGCACAGCATTCTAACATTTGTGCATATTCGAGAAGTGGGGACACAGAGGCAGTGCTCCAATCTTTGCATTTTGCAGTGAGAATGAGAGCCACGTGGCAGAGCCAAGGAGGTCTCCAGCAGCCCTAAGGCTGCGGGTTACTCACCATTGTCCCAGCTACTGTGCTAGGCAGTTTACAGACATTATCTCATTTAATCCTAGCATGATTCTAAATATTGGTTCAACATCCTGTCTACGCCACTGGGTAAGTAGGTAAGAAAAGATGGAATACCTAACAGTCTATTTATTTGTACCCTGTAAACACTTGTTCTTCCACACAGATAAACCATTAGCTTATTTCAAATACCCACGGTCCACCTTGCTCAGCAAGTGAACATCTGCTAAAATTAGCATATAAACATATAGGGTGCCAGGATGTTATGTTTAAAAATTAAAAAAAAAAAAAAGAAATCCTTTGGCCCTGGAAGCACCTTCAAAGATTTCAGTTGTCCAGCCAAGAGGGGCTTCAAACCACTCAAATTTATTACCAAGCAAAATTGTGGAATCATTTTCAGAGGCACATTAAGAAACTAAAGTCTTGTATGATTAAATATTCTTTCAAAAAATCCCTTCCAGGATTAACAACCTCCAACATTTTCTGTGTTGCGACACTAAGAAAATTAAGATATAAAGGCTTGATCCTAGCTATTTTTAGAGGAGAGACCAGAGAGTTAATTTATTTTAAGAACCCGGATCAAGATCCACACAATTTGACATTCACTTCTTCATTCAAAGGTCACCAAAATGCATACGTCAGACGTCTGCTGCTTTTTTTTTTTAAGAATGCTGAATTTTAAACCCAATAAGTCTAAATGCAGCTCTAATATAATCTACAAATGACCTTACTAAGTCTTTCTACATCCCATAAAAGTATATTAATTGTATCATTTTATTTAAGTTCCCAACTTGCTGTGATGTATTAGCATATTAAAATTAACTCTGCAGGCCCTAATCATTTCACCTTCTGAGCCAACTTACCAGGACAAATTTGATAAAATTATAGTACCCCCTTGTGGTGTTACCTTCATACCCTACTAGGATGGTTTGCAATATTATATTTTTTAAAAATCTTCTTCCACTAAGATCAGTGGATAACAAATTAACCTTTTCTAAACTCTAATAAAATCATGGGAAAACTAAAGGAGCTATCGCCAGATTGTAAGAACCAATGAGACAGTGTATTATTTCATGATAAAGAATATTTGGAGCCATACATATTATTTTTAATGGAAGGCAAACACTTTTAAGAAATATTTTCCATAGACTGATCTATGTAGACAAATTAAAGTACACAGCTCTGAAATTACTCACTGGATTTTAGTTTGCTTTGACAGCAAATTCAAATAACTGAAGGGGAAGAAATAGTATTTTTTGACTAATAAACCAATGATAAATTCTTCTCCAATCAAGAAGAAAAGTAGGTACAATTGAAACTTTTTTTCCTCATAATTTATCCAATTTTCTTCTAGCAAGTCCAGTTTGACTGCATATTACTACCATTGCTTCCAAATACCCTTTATTATTTTTATTGTTTTTATTTTGTTAAAGCTTATAATGTCATTTAGCAAAATGAGTAAGACTTTTGGGCGTATATTTAGATACAAAGATTTTCCTGGCTTTATTTTTTTCCCCTATCTTTAGTTTGCTATTCTGTGCCTTAGAAGATCCCCTACTCCTATCTCCTGATTTCCCCACTAATTGATTTTCATCTTATTCTAGAATAGGTTTTTGTCAATAAGATAAGGAATCATGGAATAGATGAATGAGATAAGACTATCCTCAATATTCTGGAGATCCCTAAAATAATCACACTCAGGTCAGAGGATCTCGTAAGAGATCCTTTTTCTGCCGGGCGCGGTGGCTCACGCCTGTAATCCCAGCACTTTGGGAGGCCGAGGCGGGTGGATCATGAGGTCAGGAGATCGAGACCATCCTGGCTAACAAGGTGAAACCCCGTCTCTACTAAAAATACAAAAAATTAGCCGGGCGCGGTGGCGGGCGCCTGTAGTCCCAGCTACTCGGGAGGCTGAGGCAGGAGAATGGCGTGAACCCGGGAAGTGGAGCTTGCAGTGAGCCGAGATTCCGCCACTGCAGTCCGCAGTCCAGCCTGGGCGACAGAGCGAGACTCCGTCTCAAAAAAAAAAAAAAAAAAAAAAAAAAAAAGAGATCCTTTTTCTGTTTCTCACTTGAAGAAACAGGAAAAGATCTCACCTATGAGTTAATCTATTCACTGTCAACAAAATAGTAGTTTCATATTCATAGGATGTCCAAGTACCTAACTAAAGAATCAAACCAGTTCATTTCTCAGATTAGTACTACTTTGAGTTCAGCAGTACTGCAGTTTATCTCTGGCTCAAGCCAGTAAGCAACCAATTCACAATGAAAATATCAAGAAGCTTTGTTTCAATTTAGTTGAAGTTCAGGTTTAATAACAATTCTAGTTCAGTTCTGGGAATGTGGAAATATACTTACTGGTTTCTGATTCACATTCCCTTGGCTTCTTGATTATAATTTAAAATGAAGAACATTGAACTGTACTCAATTAGTTATTCAGGCAACATTTTTGAAGCCCTTGCTATGTTCCAGGGACTGTCTTGAATGTGGAAATTAAAAATGAATAGAGCAAAATTCCTGCCTTGAATATCATAGTCAGCTGGGCATGCTGGCTCACACCTGTAATCCCAGCACTTTGGGAGGCCAAGGCAGGAGGATCACTTGAGCCCAAGAGTTTGAAAACAGCCTGGACAACATACCAAGACCCCAGCTCTGTGGAAAAAAAACTACAAAAATTAGCCAGGTGTGGTGGCAAGCACCTGTGGTCCCAGCTACTTGGGAGGCTGAGGTGGGAGATTCGTTTGAGCCCAGGAGGATGAGGCTGAAGGGAGCTGGGATCACGCCATCACACTCCAGTCTGGCAGTCTGGGCAACAGAGCAAGACCCTATCTAGAAAGACAGACAGACAGACAGACAGAAAGGATAAGCATTGTCCCAAGAGCTACAGTAAGAATTTCTTATGAGGGGACATCGCCTGTGTTTAGAAAATGAGCCACTAGGAACATGGGTCTACCAAAGGGCATCCTAAAATAACAAAAAATGCTCACTAAGCCTTCTGAAGTCAGTTCCTATATTCCCTCCTCTGGGCTGAGTGCTGCTATAACGTGGAAGAGCTAGCCAAATTGTTATGCATAACAGAAAACAGAGATTGAGGGTTCCAAAGGTGCAAGCAGGTGTGCAAGAGAGAAGACACAACTGGCCCAGGGCCACAGTGCACAACTCCAAGGGGCACTATGCACATCACATTCTAAGGAGTGAACGGCACCCCTACACAGTACAACCCAGCAGCCCTGCAAAAGCCAGAGTGACTGGACATTGCCAAGCAGTCAAAGAAACCCCAGGGGCGAAGAAGAAATATGGGGAGAGAGCAGAAATGTCAAGAAGGGATTTCTGTAGTTATTTGCCTTGGAGTATGACATAAACCCTTCTTCCACCTCTCCTCCAAAATCAACTTCTCTTTTACTGTTTTCATATAAGTGAACCTGACTTTGTACTCTTGGTTCCTGTTTCCACCTAGCAGGTGCCAATGGCGGCATCGTTTGGGGTTTTGTGGTGGTGACCGAGCAGAGCTGAACCTCAAATCCTCGTGGGCCCAGGGCATAAACTGAGTGTGATGATGTTGGACCCAGAGGACGGCGGAAAGTTGATTTCTGAGTTACACAAAGTTATAATTTAAAAAGTAATAAAAGCTGATACAGAGAAGCTGTGAGAGAACAGAAAAGGAAGTACCTGTTTTGCCTCAGGGAAAGAGAAGCATCGTGGGAAAGTGACCATTAAACTGAGTCTTGAAGGATGAATAACAATTATCCAGGAAAAGAAAAATGGGGAAAGGCATTCAGCAGAGACAACAGCATGAGCAAGGAGCGGACAGTTAGGAGTAGCCAAGGAGCCCATTGTGGCTGGAGGGGAGGGGCAGTCCTGTTCCATTCCATCCCATTGGCAGATTTATTCTGGGGAACGGTCAATGAAACCCCTCAGCTAAACAACACTGACATGTCGATGGGAATGGGTGTCTCTGCATGGCTACTAGCCCATCTTTCTACATTTATAAAACTTCTTGGCCAGATGCAGTGGCTCACACCTGGAATCCCAGCACTCTGGGAGGCCAAGGTGTGCATATCACTTGAGCCCAGGAGTTTAAGACCAGCCTGGGCAACATGGCAAAACCCCGTCTCAACAAAAAATACAAAAATTAGCCAGGCATGTTAGTGTGCACTTGTAGTCCCAGCTACTCGAGAGGCTGAGAGGTGGGAGGACGGTTTGAGACGATGAGGTCAAGGCTGCAGTGAGCCATGGATCGCACTGCACACCAGCCTGGGCAACAAAGCAAGATCCTGTTGGACTTGGTCATGTGACCTGTCTTAAACAATAGAATGTGGACAGGACAGAGCTAGGTCCAAGCTGAGGCCTTGAGCAGCATCGTATCTTTCTTCCTCTTGGCACGTCTGCCCTCTGCCAGGAGAAGAGTATGCCCCACTTAGCCTTAAGTCCCAGGAAGAGGAGAGACATTGTTATGAGTTGAATTGTGTCTCCCAAAATTCACAGGTTGAAGTCCTATGCCCCAGTACCTCGGAATGTGACTGTATTTGGAGATAAAGCCCTTAAGAGGTGATTAAGTAAAAATGAGGCCTTTAGGGTGGGTCCCAATCCAATCTGACTGGTGTTCTTACAAGAAGAGGGAATTTGGACACGCACAGAGACACTGGGGACACATGGGCACAGCAAGAAGGCACCATCTGCAAGCCAAGTGGAGAGGCCTCCAAAGAAATCAACCCTGCCAACACCTTGATCTTGGACTTGCAGCCTCCAGAACCATGAGAAAATTAATTTCGGTTGTTTAAGCCACCCACTCTGTGGTATCTTGTCATGGCAGCCCTAGAAGCTAACACATGTGTAGAGCAGACCTGAGCCCAATTTATAGCCTAAAGCAGAGCCTCTTTAGCCAAACCACATATCCATGACCAAAAAGTAAGTGTTTATGGCTGTAACCTACCAACATCTTGCTTGTTATGAAAGTAACAAGCAGTTGCTTGTTAAGCAGTATGATGGCAGCAAAACCTGACCAATACACTTTCATGACTCAATTCACAGCCGTTTGGCTTCTGAACACCTGCGGAATTATTCTTGCTAAAAAAAAAAATACCATGCGGTGTTGGTTTAAAAATTTAATAATAAAATAAATAGACAAAAATAGAGAACATCAATCACCTGAATACCAACTGAGACAACTTGTTCGCCCTTATTTATTCTGATTTTGCTTTTGTGTGTCCTTGGAGATTGTGAGATCTAGAATGAAATTATCTAGGTTCAGATTCTTCTAGTTTTATCATTTACTAGCTTTGCCACCTTGGGCAAATTACTTTTCTTCTCCATATGTCAATTTTCCCATCTGAAAGTTAGAAGTATAACACTACCTCCCTAAGAGTTATTAAGAAGATTAAATGAGTGAATGAATGGTGGAACACATAGTGTATTTTCTATCACGTTCACTATTGGTATCACTGTCTGACTATACTAAGTAATATCTGCTAACTTATTTTGCTCTGTCCCTCTCCAACCCACTCCAAAATCTCAACCATCCTCAAATCCCATGCCAGAAATCTGTGCCAATCCTGTTTTTTTCTTTTCATTCTGAACATCCTTCCAATGGAATCTCCTCCACACCTCTGGCTTCTGCTGTACCTACTCAAATCTATACCTTTACTCTCAACTTCTTTCCTGAACTCCAAA